>NC_000021.9:46392191-46546087 GCF_000001405.40 Homo sapiens | reverse complement strand
CACCGACCAAGGCCACATGGGAGGTCAGGAACGGCCAGGACAAGGGTGGGGCTGCAACGAGGTGTCCCTTAGCCACACCCCCTACCTTCTCTGACTGCCAGTGCTGGTACAGGAGGACATACTCACAGGCCCGATGAAGCCCAGCAGGCCTGTCCTGGTGAATGGCCTGTCAAAGATGGGTGCTCCTCCTGTGGTGACCGGAACTGCCTGCACAAAGTGGAGAGGGGCACGATCAGGCTGTGGACAACCAACCAACTGGCCAAAAAGACCCAGCAGGCGGCAGGAGGCTCAGCACCACGTGTGCGCCTGCTGGCCAGGGGGAAAAAGGAGGCTGGCCCTGCATAGGCCCAGTTTCTGTGGCCTGGCTGCTCAATCTCCTGGGCAGGCCTCCTGAGGCAGGAAACAAGCATCCCTTTTACCTCTGCTCTGGGTGCCTGGCCTCCCTAGACTTGTCCTGAACAACTCACATCACAACAATGCAAATATAGCAGAGGGCTGGTTTCCCTGGGGCCACGGTGAGTGCCTTCCTATTGGCCACCAGGCCGCACCCACACACCCTCCTCCCATGCAGGACTGTGGGAAGCACGCTGACTCCCAGCCCTCCACAGCATGCCTGGTCCTGGTACTGGCCTTGCCCTCACTCTGGGAGGACACACAGGGGTGTGCAGGCCATGTGCCAACAGCCCCAGCAGCGCCTGTGTGGAAGGAGACCATCCCCGCAGCCTCTGCAATCCCCCAGCACCCAGCACACCTGGGACCCCATGAGTGCTCATGCAACTTAACTTCAACATGAAAGTCAGGAAAAGGGACAAACCTCAAACACATTCTTCGTGATTCCAAGCAATCCATAGTACGCTGTGCCAGTTGCACTGGAACTGACGCATATTTCTCCCACTTCATCAGTTTTACAAAGATAAGGGGTACCTTCTAACTTCACAACACATACATTAGCTAAAATGAGAAAAAAAACTCAAAATTATCAAGAACGTGTTTAAATGGATCACTCACAAAGATCTCCTTGCTGCTGTATGTGCGGTTATGGAAACAGGATGTTATATACACAGCACCTTCTTATAAGGAGTTTTATGACACAGATGATACACATGCTACCTAGCTGTAAGTCTTTATATTTTATATGTAATATTTTTTATAATCAATGTAAGGTGACCAGAAAGTACAACACATCCTTCATGTAATAAGCCCCGGCTGACAAAATATTTCCTGTACTACGATAAATAAACCCTGTGCCTCCTCTTGTCATACTGCCCTCTCGGGTCCACATGGGGTGCTGCTGGCCCTGGCTCCTGACCATCACCACCACACACGAGCCCGGGACACCATCTCCTGCTCCAGAGCCTGACAGAACTCTGCCCATGCCTGCCCCCTTTCTAGTAACCTTATTTTAAATGCAAATCTGCCATGTGACTCCAGACTAATCTTAAGTCAAGGAGTGCCTCTAGGATATCTTCATGGAGAAATACCTGTTCATTTTAAGTTCTGCCTAACTTCCAAAACAACCTTGATGCTGCTGCACACACTACAGGCTATGAGGCCCAGGGCACTCCCTCAGCCATGTGCACATTCTTTCCAGAGCGCAGATGTTTTTCCCCAAGACAAAGGCCCTGGGTCTGGAGGGTTGCGGTGCAGAGATCTACCTGTCTTGCAGCCACTCAAGACCAGGATTCTATCTGTAAGTTCCCCAATGAACCACCCTCTACTGACAAACGACCTGTCTGCCTCGTTCTTCAATTTCTCGGCCTTTCCGCATTTGGGGGCCAATTTGTACATGTGCGCCTTTTCATGGAGCACGATGTCTCAGGCCTCAGTGTGACTCCTCCCACAGCCCCATCACCCAGTTCTGTTTTTACTTAAGTGCACCCTACCCAACTCTCGGTGACCTGCTGCCTTCGCCTCCCACAAGGGATCTCATCTGCCTAGTCCTCAGCTCTGCCACAGAAAGGCCTCCAGAAACAGCCTCACACAAAAGCATGAGATGCACAAATGAATGGGCTGTGGTCCATTAAATGAAACTTGGTTACTTAGCAATCAATTAACCCATTGGGTCAGCTAGGAACTGTCCTTCTGTGCCTCTTCTTGAGTTTTTTTCTAATATATTCTCATCTCCAAAGACAGTAAAAAGAAAGAGAGAGACAACCAGATATTTGCTTCCTTTTGCCACAAATCAGATAAAAGACTTTGCAGAGAGAATGCAGCCATGCTTGGCTGATGTGGAAGGTGGTGCTTGGCTGATGTGGAAGGTGGTGCTTGTCTGTGCTTCCAGGTGGCCATCCAGGCAGCCATCAGTGCCACACAACACTTACAAGCACATGCAGAGATGGGGCAAGGTCACGAAAAGCCACAAAGCACCACATACACACTTGATACAGTAGTGAACACAGGCCTACACAGGGCAGACTGAAAAACTGCTGCAAACAAATCACCCGTAGGATTCACCATGGGGCTCAGTCCCACAACAAGGGGTACAGCCCGGGGGCTGTGGAGGGTCATGGGAAACAGGGGTCCACCTGGGGGAGTGCCTGGGGGAGCGCTTTGCACGCGCGCCTGGCAGAGGGGGAGCGCTGCATGCACACACCTGGGGGAGGGGGGTGCGCTGCATGCACGTCTGGTGGAGCGCTGTGTGCACGCCCGGGGGAGGAGGTGTGCTGCGTGCACGCCTACGGGAGCGCTGTGCACGCATGTCCTGTCCTAATCCACATTTTACAAATAAAACGCGCACAACTACAGATGTTCCTAAGATTCATTCAGAATCATGACCTCATCATGATTTTCCAGGGAAGTTTAAACACTTACCTGTATTTTCCCCATGAGTAAATAAGTGACACCCCAATGATTGCTGTCTGTGAAAATGTTTTACGACAGGTTCAAGCACCGTGCAAGACTGACTGTTCTATTTCTCAGGAGAATTATTTTACGACAGGTTCAAGCACCGTGCAAGACTGACTGTTCTATTTCTCAGTAGAATTACAGGAAAAAAATGATGCCATTTGTATGAGTAACAAGTAGAGCTAGAAACACAGGCTGAAATACTTCAGTCTTATTCAATGAGGACCCAGCATCTGTGCACACACAGGGATCAGGCACCAGCTGGCCCCAGGCTCCAGGTTAGAGATGGCTGGGCTGCCAGCACCACCCACAGACAGGGTCTGCACCTGAGCAGCCACAGCCGGTTAGCACAGCCGCCTGCAAGAGGCAGAGTTGCAGGCACAAGGGCCAGGACGCTGAGCCTCTCGCAGTGCCTGCAACCCCTAACACAGTCAGGGCCGCATTGGAAGGGGGGAGACTGCACTGACAGATGGGGTCCTGCCTCTAGAAGTCACCAAAAGGGGCCCTGACAGCTGCCCGTGAACCCCAGAAGGGCCATCACAGGGAGGCAGGAAAGCTGAAGTAGCTGTGGGGTGGCTACAAGGAGGGCAGCCTCAGACCACGTGGCAGTGTCCCCACTCGAATGTCACCAGGGCCTCCCAGGCCAGATTCTGCCTCAGGCCAGCAAGGAAAACCTCCAACATCTAACATGACGGTCAGGCCTACAGAGCCAACTTCTGCAGAAGAGTTCACATAGGCCTTTCTGACATCGAGGAATTTCTGGGAAGCTTCCATGAGGCTTCTATCTAACACATGCTTGCTAGAACTTACTTAGATAACCTAATTATCAAGTTATTCACAAACATTACCATTTTCCTCAGAGCTGCCCACTTCACATGGTTGCCATGGGGTTAAATGCTTCAACACATATGAAGTATGAAGCCTGTGCCTGGAACACAGTGAGCTATTATCACCGTCTTCCCAAATATCAAAGAACTGTAAGTGAGTTGCATAGGCCATATACACATCTTTATATTTTAGCTCATCTTTAAACTTAGCACAAAGGGAGGGAAAAAACTGAGCAAATATTTTACAAAGTAAAATTCCAATTTACACTGAAAAACATTCTTGAGAAATCTTTTACTTGTATGCTTGCTTCTAGAGCACTACTATGAAGCCTGGAGTATTTATAAGAGGCTGAGGCAGGAGAATCGCTTGAACCTGGGAGGCGGAGGATGCAGTGAGCCAAGATCACACCACTGCACTCCAGCCTGGTGACAAAGCAAGACTCCGTCTCAAAACAAAACAAAACCCTTTTCGTTACCTCAATCAGTCATGGACAAAGACCCACTCTGGTTATGTCTCTTACCTCCAGGCATCACCTGACCAACGTCCTGAACAGTAAGGACTGACAACTTTTCTTCAGTATCCACTCTGATAACACCATAACTTAGACCGTTCATCGACAGGACTGCTTTTCTTGGAGGTGGTCCTCCCAGATCAGGTGGCCTAGAAAATAAAACCACCATGGGTTTAACTGACGAGGGGGATGAAATTCCAGGGAGGTGGGCCCACCTTGCCTGCAGCATGATTCTGCACCAAAGCCACTGCTCCATGTTACAGACTTGTGAGAAACGCATGTTCTAAAGATGCTGCAATGTCTCCAAACTACATGCCCCTCTGCAATGTGACGTCGACACTCCACTCAGTGGGAAAAGGGCCTGTGACTACAGTGGTTGTGATGCTGTGTGACTTCCAATGCAGGCCAGTAACGTCAATTCAGCTTCTACCCGATTGTCTTGGGACACTCGCCTGGAGCCCTGTGAAGCCCGGCAAACAGAAGGACGGTGTTGAGGCCACTGCACTGCAAGGAAGCCCAGAGCAGCTCACTCTGAGAGACCAGGTGGGGGCCTGAGATGTACACACACAAAGCTGTCTCAGCCCCTCACCGCTCCCTCCAAACACCATCTCCTGCAAGCCAGAACCACCTGGCAGAGGCCTTCCTAAGCTCCTGGCCCACAGAAAGCATGAGAGACAATAAAATGACTGTTGTTGTTTGTGATACAACAATAGTAACTGGAATACTGAGCAACAGGCGTTTCCTCCAATATGAAAAAAATTACACAGTTGTGCAAAACAAATCACCATAGAACAAAAGAATGAAGAATAATTTATAGTTTGTAGACGACAATAGCGTTTTTTTAATGTTAAGTGATTAAATAGGGTAACTTTTTTTTTTTTTTTTTTTTGACACAGAGTTTCACTCTTGTTGCCCAGGCTGGAGTGCAATGGCATGATCTTGGCTCATTGCAACCTCCACCTCCTGGGTTCAAGCGATTCGCCTGCCTCAGCCTCCCGAGTAGCTGGGACTATAGGCACCTGCCACCACGCCTGGCTAATTTTTTGTATTTTCAGTAGAGATGGGGTTTCACTATGTTGGCCAGGCCGGTCTCGAACTCCTAACCTAAGGTGATCCACCTGCCTCGGCCTCCCAAAGTGCTGGGATTACAGGCATGAGCCACCGTGCCCAGCCAAGTTAGGGTTACTTTTAAAAACTTAGGGTTAGTTCCATATATGGAAACACATACCATTTATGAATATATGACTATAATACAAGATTACAATTGAGGCTAAGACACCTCAGCTGTGAGCACACTGAGTTCTACCCACAGGATGGAGCTGGGAGTGGGGCAGGTGAGAAGAGGGGAAAGGAAACCTCAGGAGGGGAGTGAGGAGCACAGGAAGGACCAGCAGCCCCGCACCCACACACAAGGACACTCAGGGCAGTCTGCAGGCTCAACATGCCCTCTAGGCTGAGAAACATGACATGAGGGAAACCGCCACAGGAGCAGCACAGGCCTCCCGGGAGGTGGGTGGCCGGGCACTAAGCACCAGGCCGGGTGCTTCTCCAGGCAGGTCAGTGGTTCCCACAGACTCCACGGCTGACCGACACCTGCCTCAGAGTAAGAAAGAGTTCCTAGGTTGTAATGTTTACCACAGCTACAGACGAGATGACAAGGCCTTTCTAATTTGGGAAGCACTCAGGAAAATCGCAAGCCGGCATTCTGCAAGAATCCAGAGTATGGCCCAGGAAGTTCCTACCCAATTCTCCACACAAACCCAAGCCGGCAAAATGTGGGGGGCCAGGCACCAAGGTACTACTGCACAAATGGGCCTGGATCCTAACAGGCACAGGCACAGCTCCAGGATAACTCAGCTGTATGCAGAAGATTCAACTAAGTGCTCATGAGACATAGCAAGGAATAAGGTTACCTGCGGATGGCGACAGTCAGCGCCTCAGGAGAACTTGCACAAGGACAGATGACCTCTGGCCTCAGACCTCTGGACTGGAAGACGTTGAGGAAGGCGTCACAGGAGGAGATCGACCCTGCACAGAGCAACAAGAGTGGAACGCCAGCACTAACTGGGGGGCCAGCAGGGAAGGGGTGGCTGGACATGCTCAAGTTAGCGCAGCCTGCGGCCATCGGAACCACAGGGCTGCATCAGCAGAAGGAAGGGGCCCCTTCACAGGTACCCTCAGACTTCATGTTCTTCAAGGAAGATGGTATCTTTAAAGGAAATCAGACAGCCATGGATGGTCTGGTGCTCCAAAGGGCAGAAGGGGCATCACTAGGGACAGGAAGGTGCTGCATGTGGTGGGAGACAAGCTGCACGGCACTGCAAGGATCAGGTGCAGCAACAGGGGAGTGCCATGGGAAGAGGCACTGGAGAGGAGGTGCACACTCTGACTCCACCATGGGGACCACGGAGTGGCGGTGCGCCTGGGGTGGAGACGCAGAGACCTGAGCAGTGCTGCAGAACCCAGAAGCAGGCCCTGCCTGGCTCAGGTGTGGACCAAGAGAATGAGAGGCTCTGGGGGTGCTCAAAGGTGGGGTGACCTCCCAAGAGATGGGGTGTCGGCCACACTGGAGAGGGGATAAGATGAAACATCAGCTTCTGATGCAGGGTAGTCTCCAGTGCATAGACAATGATGCAGGTTAACAAACAAGAAAACCCCTAATACCTGGTCAACAGGTGTGTGCTGCAACAGGAGCCCCTGTGTGACCAGCATCACCTGAGGCTTCCCCAGAGGAGGTACTGAGTCAGACCCTGGACAGTCCTGGGCCCCAGAGCTCACGTGTGCAGCCTTGACAAAGCAGTTCCCATTCAGACCACCGTACGCAGGAGGCCCTACGTGGTCAGGCAGCAGCCATAGGGAGCTCCTCCTGGGAGGATGTGGGGGACACCCAGGCAAACCAGGAGGGAGAATGGTTGGGTCCTGGTGGGAGAAGTGAAGCCAGAAGCCAGAGACGTGGGGGCACCAGGACAAAGGGCAGGAGGGTGGGGATGAGGCCTAAAGAGAAACAGGAACCCCAGGCCACAGCACAATCTGGTAATTTCTTAAGAAAGATGACTCTCATTAAGGCATGTACCTTTCATCAAGCATATTAAAATTGCTTTTAAATTTAGTGGCCTAATAAACATGCATGGGATAAACCAGTGAATCACCAAGATGTTCCGTGTCATAGAAACGATGGGACATGTGTATCTATATGACAATGGCAGTGAAAATGCCTCCATTTTGCTTCTCAGTGTATTCTACTTTGGTTTGCAGGAGGGGACACTGTGTGGGGTATGCGCCGGGCACACAGGCTCACTCACACGGGTTGGCACCATCGGCCACAATCAGCATGCGCAGTGAGCTGAGGCTGACGTCCCTCTGGCCCCGCTGAGCTAGGAGAGACCAGTGCATGTCTCGCGACTTCACCAGCGCGGCCCGAGCTGCAGAGAGAGGATGGCACAGACATCCCTGCGTCACAAGGACTGGCACCCTCACACGCCTACAGACACGTGTACCTCATCCCACAGAGAGGTGTACATGCACAGACAGACACAACACTTAGCTCCCAGGTCACAAGCTCTCTGCAGCCGTCTCTCACATGCAGTCTAACAAACCCTCAAAGCTTTTTCCACAAAAATCAACTCTGAGGTACAATTTAGACATCAAAACCTCAGATCCATTTCCAACATTAATTTTTTCTTAGAAGCTCCATATTGCTCTTTTCCTATCTGCCCGCTTCATCTCATGTTGTCCTTCCCCAAACCCCTGGTGCTGGCTGAGAAGTGTGAGGACCCCAGAAGCTAAACAGATGGTCTCAGGCCTCAGTCTGGCCCCTGCACTGGCTAGCATGTGGAATCCAGCAATCCCCCCACCCCTACCCAAGCTTCAGTTTCCCTCCATAAAGTAGGACAGACAGAGAGAGCTGCCCCTCCACACTGCTCTGAGACATGTCTAGAGGGGCACAGCCCAGTAGGTAGAACAAGGCAACATGGGTGACCCAGGTGATCCAGTGCCTCAGTGGCTGGTAGAAGTGCCACTGAGCTCCACAGGGCAGAGACACAGACTGCCAACTGTGCAGGTGTGGCCATGCTGGGGCCTCCTGCTTGGTCCCAGGAGGCACCTCAACCGTTGAGAGAAGTAAGGCCCAGACCCCACCAAGTGGCCCTACTTACCACATCACCCACGAAACCCTGAGGGCCATGCCAGAGGCAGAGAAAGCCCCCATATTCCTGGGCAGGGGTGTGACCAAGAAAGACGTCCCACAGCTCTTCAGCCTACATCTGCAGTTCCACATGTCAGCTTTATTTTTTCTTAAGCACCAAAGGTCAGTTCAAAGAGATTTCCCTAAAGAAGGGTGAAGGCCCTGACCATGGTATCCGTTACCTTTATAGAAGCACACTTTCTGGATCCAGGAGAGTGGGTTCGCCTTCATCAGCGCGTAGGGGACGCTGACCACGTGCATCCTGTTCATGACGCTCTGTGGGGGAGCACACATGCTTAGGGCGAGTGGGCCCGAGCCACACCAGAAAAAGCAAAACAAAACCGATGTACTCTCCCAACAACATTTCAGGCAGAGGCTTGGGTTCATCTCAATCCCTTGTTCCAACAGTTAGTCATCAGCAAACAACACTCACTGTTAACACGCCATGCCACAGACCAGCATCCCTTTTGAAATCCAGCACGTTTGTTAATGTTTCAGCTGCAAGTGGACAAAGAAGGTGACACCACTGAGCAACCCTCTCAATAAGCCCTATGCATTTTCTAGAGAAATTCTGAGGTGAGTACGTCATCAACATGTAAGTTTCAGGAACAGATACAGCATTTCCAAATACCACATACCAATTAATAATAATCCTGGTTATCTATTCAAATTACTGGAAACACATAAAAGTAGAAGGTCATGGAACTAACACAGAGAACCACGCTGAGCACTAATCAGAAGGCACAGGAACATCACATACTGAAGAAGCTATACAAGGTGTCACCACAGCTTGTCTTTTCTTCTTTTTTTTTTTTTTTGAGACAGAGTCTTGCTCTGTTGCCCAGGCTAGAGTGCAATGGAGCAATCTCAGCTCACTGCAACCTCCGCCTCCCAGGTTCAAGCAATTCTCCTGTCTGAGCCTCCCGAGTAGCTGGGACTACAGGCATGCGCTGCCATGCCTGGCTAATTTTTGTATTTTTAGTAGAGAAGGGATTTCACCACGTTGGCCAGGCTGGTCTCAAACTCCTGACCTCAAGTGATCTGCCCGTCTCAGCCTCCCAAAGTGCTGGGATTACAGGTGTAAGTCACCGCACTCGGCCTCTCCACATCTTCTCATCAGATATTTTTGAGTGGGTATTCTTCTCAGAATCAAGAGGTGGGGATGAAAAACTGTCAGGGATATTCTTACTTCTCAACTCTACACCACATCTCCTCAATTCTCACACCCAGAGGCCGTGATCCGGCATCTCCCCTCTGTAAGAGCTGGTGGTTTGCATCACCCTTCGGAAAGTCACTCTTCCTCTGCCCGTTTTCTCACCCAGAGGTATGCAGCTAACACATCTTAGGAAGCTGGAGTGGATAGGGGTCCTGAGGGTTCCCAGCACAGCTCTCTGCTCAGAGCCCCTGGCCAAGTCTTCTCTAATATCCGGCTCCCACCTTGCACAGGCAGAAAGGACAGAGCCTGGGGCTGTGGGCAGACCTGGCTTCTCGCCAAAGGCCACAGCACTCCAAAGGCAAACAGGAGAGGTTTGATTTGTGTGCCAGGAAATGCTGTTGCACCATGAATAACAGTACTATAAACACCCTTTCTCTGTTGGTTAAGAACACAAATTATTATCATTATTATTTAGAGACGAGGTCTTATTACGTTGCCAGGCTGCAGTGCAGTGAATATTCATAGGCACAATCCCATTACTCATTGGCATGGGAGTTTTGACCTGCTCCCTTTCCTACTTGGGTCGGTTCACCCCTCCTTAGCAAGCTGGTGGTTCCCCACTCCTAGAAGGTCACCATGTTGCTGCCAAACTTCGTGCAGATACCTGGTTAGCACAGCCCACTACAGCCCAAAACTCCTGGGCTCAGGCGGTCCTCTTACCTCAGCTTCCCGAGTAGCTGGGACTATAGGCACACATCATCACGCCTGGCTAAAGAACCCAAATTGTAGGTGACATATGTAAGATCAGCTCTGAGCTGAAGACAAAGAAAGTCACGGGGCTTGATCTGAAAGATCTAACTTTTTTAATAAAGCCCTTAAAAAATACCTAAAATCACTTTCCAAATCTCAAGTAAAAGCTTTAGCTGTGCCCTCAACTTATACCCTTGCTTTTAAACACCTATATTTTTTTCTTTTTTAAAAATTCTATTTAAAATTTCTCCCTTTTTTTGTAGAGACAGGGTCTCACTATGTTGTCCAGGCTGCTCTCAAACTCTTGACCTCAAGTGTTCCTCCTGCTTTAGCCTACCAAAGTGGTGGGATTACTGGTATGAACCACTGCACCTGGCCTGAACACCTATATTTTAGATATTTAGACATACCATTCAATTTCACTCAGTAGTTTTGTTCAATTCTAGTATTACAATGTAAGAAAACTACTGAGTCCATTTTTACAGTTTTTAAAATTGTCACAGTGTACCCCATAAATATATACAATTAGTACTTATCAATTAAATAATATTAATTTAAAGATATCTCAAGTTAAGTATCTGACATTTGAAGTAAATCAGGTGCTGACTATACTTTATCAACAGATCATCTATAACCATAAAGATTCTACTTATATATTTATATCCATGACAGCTGAGGTCAAAACTACAGTCATAGATAAAGTAATAGAAAACTAAAAGTGTTTTCCTCTTTTTGAATGAAAAATGCCCTGACCCTCAGTATGTCACAGAGTAAGCCAGCCCCCCAGGGCAGGCCTGTGAACCCAGCACTGTGTATAAATCAATCAGTGGGATATAGGTTCCATGTTCCATAAAATCAACATCCATGTGCATTTACTGAAAACAACCCTGATGGGGTTGTCTGGACTCTGCTAAGAGACACCGTGTGCCCTCTTGGCCAGCACAACCACAGAGACCCTGTAAGCATGCTAAAGACAGTGCATCTCCCTACCTGGCATGACCCGGATTAATGGGCAAAGGCACTACCCAGGGGTGGTTTTGACAGGTGCAGTGACAGTCACATGATTAGGTACGTCAGGTATCTGTGTGAGGCTGGAGGGGCCACCGCCCCACCCCCGAGAGCCCTTACCTTCTGAGTACCCGCACGCCTGGGTCAGAGCCCGGCACTGTGCCAGCAGGGATGCGTGGGACACTGTGACCCCCACCGTACTGCCTTCTTTGCTGGTTTTATACTGAAAGATTTCAAGGAAAAAAACATGATGTGGTATTTCTAGAGGTGACAACAGACAGAATGGAAACTGGTAGAATCTTCAAAAGAAGAAGTGGTCAGTGTCTCTCCTCTAACCATCGGCCTCTAACCAGCAGCCCAGGTACATGGCAAAACCCTGGCCGCTGAGGGGATGCTTCAGTGGAAGTTGTGGCTCCTCTTGGGCAGGTGCCCGAGGGTAATGGTGCGCCATGGGCTCCCTCATAACTGTCTGCATCCCCAGGGAGCCAGTTAGGAGAGAATTAGATGAGAGAGAAACCTGGAAGGATCTGAGCAAGGATTTATATGACACTCTGTATTTCCAGGGCAGAGATAAAACAAGAACTCTTAGGCCGAAACTTAACAAAAAAGAATAGCAACTTACATTCTTATGAAAAGCAAGACTTAAGCCTGTGGGACATGTTTTTACATTCTCTAAGTTAGGAACAGTCATTACCTCAATGTAGGCAGTCCCAGTCCCTGTGTCCTGGGCCAGAGGGTGCCAGTCCTTTGGGGGCTTGGCTAGATGCTTCCCATCAATCACTAGCCAGGAGAGCGGGGGCCAACCTGTGACACACAGACAGGACACAGAACAGCAAGCAGTCAGAGGCATCTGCTCCCCACACTCGAAGCCTGCGCCTCCAACATGCAGCACTAGCTACTGAGCGAATAAGGAGTGCAAGTTTTAGTCTCATTTCATTTTATATAATTTAAAAAGGTACATCCGGCCAGTGGCTACCACATTAGACAGTACAGGTCGAGACATGAAGCCAGATGAAAACCGAGATTCACCAAGGACTCGAACAAGGGATCACTTTTGCTGAAGACCCAGACACCTCTGTCATGTTTAATTTCTGGAACACCATGCATTTAACACAGACCACAGTCAGAACACTGACTCCCCTTCCCTTGGGAGGCCTCACCTTTGAAAGCTGCCACCTCTCCTGTCTGTGCCTTGGGGAGGCCTTTCTGACAAGCGTCTGTGGTCAGGGCCAAGAAGACTCCACAGCTGCCCAGCAGAAACCCAACCTGCTGGCTGCCTGCATCCTGCAGAAAGCAGAGTGACCGTGTGGGGTGGGGTGCTCACAGCAGCCACAGCCCCAGACCCTTGGTGCTCCAGGCCATGCACAGAGAACAGATCTTTTTTTCATCCCTCATAAAACTTCCAGAATAATTCAGTCCCATTATTGATATATATGATCTTTTCACGGAAATAGTTCATGAAAATGTGACAACTATGTTTAAATTTAAAAGATAATTTTGGTTTGTATTTGTGTTGAAATATAAAGTTTAATGGGCTAATTTCTCAAAGTTTATTCTTACAAATGACATTTAGAAGCATTTTTAATAAACTCCAAAGTTAATGGCATTGAAATTTCTATTGAATCATGTTTGAAATTTACAAATTAATCTAGAGAGGCCTGGTCACCAACGATATTAAATTATTTCCACACAGAAACACATTTCCTTGTAGCCAAGTCTTCTGTGTCCCTCAGCAGTATTCTGTCATTTTCTTCATATAAATTTGACAAATCTCTAGTTTTACTCCTAAGAACCACTGCATTCAAATACCTGCCCATCACATATTATGCTTTGAGATACACTAGTTTGATTTGCAAATTTTACTTTTGGGATTCTTGAATATTTCTGGATAATGCTCCTGTTAACAACTGCCTGAATTCTGGGACAGGATGACAGAAAACTGATTTTCTCAAATTCATGCCTTGTCTATTTTTTTTCAGTAATCATATTATTGATAGTTATATCAAAAATGTTACAGATACCTAGATCAGCAAGACCCCACATTAATAATTTATCAGCAACAGAAACTGCCTACGGTCATATAAGTGAACAGAAATGCAAGATAATTTCCATCTCGTTTATTCAAAACTGCCACTGAGAAGTGAGCTATATCACTGTAATGATATATTTATCCCTAAGAAATAATAATTATTTTCTATAAACATATGGTTTTGAGGAAAAGTTGAACAAAATCTTATTGAATCATAATTCTATTCATTAGAGGAAAAAATGGCTATCATTTCTGTTGGGAAATTCATGTAGATGATAGAACAGCTCCACCTAATAAGAGTGTGGTGTGGGAGCATCACCAGCAAAACGGTTCTCAGTGCCCCTCTCATTAACAAGAAGAGAGGCAGGCAAAACGGCATCTGATTTCTCTTGAGTCCTGGCCAGCCTGTTGACTACTAGCTTTCTCTCCTCTGTCAAAACAGCTGCTTGCTGCCTGCCCACATGAGTGAAAAGGAAGTAAGATACTGCTGGTATCAAGTTCAGAAGCGAACCACACGGGACCTGAGCCATGGGTTTGCTACCTTTCTTGTTAATGGCACTTCTATGGGGACAGGAACCAGCTCTGCCAGGAGACACCCATAAAATGCAACCATGAACATCACAGGGTCACTATTCGGAAACACGAGCGCCACCTACAACAGGACAAAGAAATGAATATTCCAAATTTCCAATTTTTACAATATCTAGTTAAATTAAAAGCTAGTTATAAATAAAATTTTTGTAAGCCCCAAATATTGTAATAATTGTGCTTGAAACCATAAGGGACAAGTCCAAATAGTATTTAACTGAGTAGAGACAGTTGACTCAGGGCCTTTGAGAACACGCAACAATGAATAACCAATAAGTGCTGACTTTGTAAGACAAAATTTAAGCTGTATCTATATTCTGTACTTGAGGTCTGGAAATTTAGTTTCTAACAAGTTTGTTTGTTGAAAAGGGCAAGGTTCTCCTTCAAAATTTGGTTTTAACAGTGGTTGCCCAGAATGTAACCTATAACCTTCAGACTAGATGTTTGGTATGGAAAGTATATTTTTACAGAATTTGTTAGGAAGAGCTGTGCTCACTTTTATAAAGTGTAATATTATAGGAGGCAGAATTTGCCACCAATTTCTTCAACTCAATCACTGTGACCTTGTCCATTTTATTATGATTCACCTAACCAAAGAGATTCTCTTGCAAGTCAAGAATCTGAAAGTCTTTATCCTTGTAAGAATGTTTTTCAAGAAAATTAGTGATTCTTGAATTCATTCTAAAGCGTTGCATAAAATCTCATCTATGAGCACAACATATCATAAAGTATTATTCTTAAACTGTTTACATTTTTATAGCCAAGTACACATTTCCTTTCTTTTCTGATAACAGCTACCTCCATTTCTACTTGCGTTGCTTTCTGTGTATTCTCTAGCTAATTTGTTTTAAAATACTCCCTCAGCTGGGTCAAATACCCACCTACTGGTGGGTCATTTTCCAAATAACCACCCACTCAGGAGAGCCGTGAGTGTCCCCTGCTGCTGAGGACTCCACTGCTGAGGGTCTCGGTTCTCCTGATGGTGGGTGCTGAGGATTCCACCCCACCCTGGAGTCTTGGTTCTCCTGATGGTGGCTCTGCTGCCCCCCCTGGACTGCTGCCAGTGATCGTCCTGGGGCCTCCACTGTGGTCCTCCTGCTTGCACCCTACTCACTCACTCACTCATGTGGCTGAGGGACATCTTCTAAGAACTTGACAAGAAAGTGCTTGCGAGCCAAACGTTTCTGAGTCCTGCATGTCTGAAAATGGCTATACTATTCTCAAATCTGTTGAATCTCTGGGAACAGAATTTTAAGTTAAAATTATATTCCCTCTGAATGTCTGAAGCATCATTCCACTCTCTTTCAGTTTTACCAATGAGAAATCCCAAAAGCCACTGTCATTGCCAATCCTTTGTGTACATCCTACTTTTCCCCTGAAAGCTCTGGGATTCTTTTCTGTACCCCTCGTATTATGCAATATTATGGGCATGCGTTTTGGTGTGCATCCTTGAATGTTTACACTCTCCAGGTCCGGGATATTGTCCTGAATTACTATTTTCATTTAAAATGTTCTACTTTCTGTTCTCCTTTCTCTTTCTCGACTCCAGTTATCAGTCAGGTGTTGTGTCTTCTTGATCGAGTCTTTTTGTCCTATTTTACTCCGCTCTCCATCTCTTAGTCTTTCCTACCGGCATCCTTTTCTTGACTTATGAAACATCTTCATCTCTGATTTCCAAGAATATTAATACTCACTTTTTAGAAACATTGTTTTCTGTATCTAGCTTTCCTTGTTGTTTCCTCTTTCCTCCCTTCCTTACTTTTCTTGTCTCTTTCTCACTCCCTCTCTTCCCTTCCCTTTTCTTTGTCTTTTGGTATTTTCTCTCATATTGACATTTCCTTCTTAAAAGTCCTTGGCTAATAGTTCATATTAAAGACTTAGGCACTGAAAGAGCTACTTGGAACTGTCTGCCAGCTTGTTAACCTGCAGTTTCCTTGTTGGGTGATCTGACACAGGTGACCTTCTCACTAGGGGATTTCACTGGTATGTTGATTTTCACCATGTTCTCCTATTTTCCACCCTGGACTTTCTAGTATACCAGGGTCCTCCGGTCTGGTCCAGCTTGCCTACAGTAGTACTGTCCAACAGAAGTTTCTATGATGACAGAAATGTTCTACCTCTGATCTATAAATACAGTAGCTACTAGCCACACTCCTACTGAGCCCTTGAAATGTGGCTTGTGCAACCAAGAAACTAAATTTTTTATTTTATTTAATTTTGGTTAATTTAAATAGCCCCAAATGGCTACTGCCAACCATATAGGGCAGTGTAGCACAAGAGAATAAGTCTCCAGCATCCTATTTTGGCAGATAGGTACAAGGAGGTTACCTGGACACATAGAATAGGGAAGGAGATAAAAATACAGAATTTCACAGCAGGGTTTCAGACCTTCAGATTTTAATTCATAAAATCTAAGCTCTGGAATCTAACATTTTTAATATCAACATATATGAAGTCAAACAGAAAAGAAGATGAAGAAACAGTGGACAAACAATGAAACAACGAGTGCAGAAAAAGAATGCTGCTTTACTCTACATCACAAACTTTGCCATATTTAATATTTTTCACTGCTTTTTTTTTTTTTTCTCTTTGAGACGGAGTCTCACTCTGTCGCCAGGCTGGAGTGCAGTGGCGAGATCTTGGCTCACTACAACCTCCACCTCCTGGGTTCAAGAGATTCTCATGCCTCAGCCTCCCGGGTAGCTGGCATTACAGGCACGCACCACCACGCCCAGCTAATTTTTTGTATTTTTAGTAGAGACAGGGTTTTGCCATGTTGCCCAGGCTGGTCTCAAACTCCTGAGCTCAGGCAATCCGCTCACCACAGCCTCCCAAAGTGCTAGGATTACAGGCATGAGCCACCGCACCCAGTCCTCACTGCTGATTTTAAATCCCTTGTATTAATGCTGTAATTCTAACTAAATGATAGAACACTAATTTCAATGAAACAGATTATTTAAGTCCCTGCTTTTGCTCCTTCCAACAAAGTGACATTCTAGTTACTTACTCTGTCTCCAGGTTTAAGTAGAGGTTCATTCTTACTTGTCAGTTTATTAAGTAGAGTATAAGCTAGTTTTAAACTCCGACTCCAAAGTTTACCTAAAACAAAATAAAAATACTAAGCAATGTAAAATTTAAGAAACAAGTAATTAACATTTTAATGTAGAAACCAAAATACCCCGAAATATACCATTACCCCATTAGTGGAAATTTAGGTAGTTTCCAACTAATAACTATTCTGCACAATGTTGTAATGAACATCATTGTTTTCTCTTAAAAATAGCTTACAGATTTATTTTTCTTAATACAAAAATAAAATAGGATTTTATTACAGAAAATCTGGACTACAGAAGAGCCAGCAGAGGCAGGTTGCAGTGACTCACACCTGTAATCCCTGTACTTTGGAAGGACGAGGCAGGCAGATCACTTGAGGCCAGGAGTTTGAGACCAGCCTGGCCAACATGGCAAAACCCCATCTCTGCTAAAAATACAAAAAATTAGCTCAGTGTGGTGGTGTGTGCCTGTAATCCCAGCTGCTCGGGAGGCTGAAGCATGAGAATTGCTTGAACCTGGAAGGTGGAGGTTGCAGTGAGAGCCAGCCTGGGCAATAAAGACATTATCTAAAAAAAAAAAAAAAAAAAAAAAAAAAAAAAAAAAAAAAAAGCAAGCAGAAAAAGTCAGTATTTGGTATACATATGTATATGTACATATGTGTGCATATATATACAGCTATACACATATAAACACGTATACATGCCTGTAAAATTTTCAAGAAATGAGATACTTCACCCTACTTTTTAAATTAATATTGCATTGTAAATGGATTTTCATTACGTTAAATATCCCTCAATTACATCATTTGTAAGAGTAGCACATAATTTCTTTAATCTTTACAACAATTCATGAAATGGGTCATATCTTTGTTTTAACATGTTAAATTCCTAATTTAATATGTTAAATTTAAGATGTTAAAATACCAGCCATCCCCAAAGAGAAGTTCCCCTGACCAAAAATCAAGAGACAATATAAACCAAAGCAACAGATCCAAAGGTGATCCGGGTATCAATGCCATCCATTCTTTACTTGGAAAGCCATCAGGACCTCACGCCAGGCACAGGGCCCAGGAACCAGCTCTTATCCCCTGAGGTCCTTCCCACCACACACCCCTCCTGGCGCAGCTGCTATGCTCATAAGCACTCAATAGGGGAGAGCTTCACTGAGGAAGACAGGACAATAGAGAAAGGAAAAGCCTAGAGGACTGGGGGTGTCTAGAGAGGACGACAGAGGCAGGGGTGACCATGGGACAGGAAGACTGAGAAATCTGAGTCTAACCCCCCACACTTGAAGGAGCCTTAACACCCCCTCACCAAGCAGCCTATCAAAGAAGCAACACAAAGTCATCACTGAGCCCTTTAAGTCCCTGTGGCACAACGCAAGCAGGTTGAGTAGCCATGCCCTGCAAATGAGCGCTCAATTTCCCGTGTAATAATATGAAGCTCAGGTGCAACACTATGAAATAAGTGAACTGTGGGACCTGAGAAATGAATGAGAAAAAAAAAATACTAGACTGGGCACGGTGACTCATGCCTGTAATTCCAGCACTTTGGGAGGCCAAGATGGGTGGATCATCTGAGGTCAGGAGTTCGAGACCAGACTGGTCAACACGGTGAAACCCTGTCTCTACTAAAAATACAAAAAATTATCTGGGAGTGGTGGCACACACTGTAATCCCAACTACTCAGGAGGCCGAGGCAGGAGAACTGCTTGAACCCAGGAGGCAGAGGTTGCAGTGAGACGAGACTGTGCCACTGTCCTCTAGCCTGGGCGAGAGTGAGACTCCCTCTCAAAAAAAAAAAAAAAAAAAACCTCAACTCAAACCACTGTTTTAGCCTATTTTAAAAGGTCAGTTTAAGGTGTTAATAATTGTAATGCATAAAGAATTTCAAACTGAATCCAGCTACATAAAAAGAATAATGCATCATGACCAAGTCAGTTTTATCTCAGGAATGCAAAGAGGTTCAACAGAAAACCCACATAATTTGCCACATTAACAAAATAAAGGTGAAAAATAAAACAATCATATCAATAGATGGAAGAAAAGAAAAACAGTTTAAATCATTCATGATTTTAAAATGATTTTAAATGATTTTTGAAATTCTTCTTAAACTCAGAATAAAAGGAAACATACTTCCTTAATGTGATAAGGGGCATCTTTAGAAACCCAACAGGAAATATCATAATTAATGGTTGGATATTGAAAGCTTCCCCTCTGAGAGAAGTAAGTAAAGGATGTCTGTTTTCAGCATTTTACTGAAAGGCTTAGCCAGTGCAAAAAGGGAGAAAAAGCTGAACAACTGGAAATATAACTACCATTATTTGCAGATGACACGATGGTGTAGCTTATGAATCTTTTGTAACTGAATTTAGCAAGGCTGCTAAATATATCAACATACAAACACCATTTGATTTCTACATACTAGCAATACAGAGTAAACAGGCCTGGCGCAGTGGCTCACACCTGTAATCCTGGCACTTTGGGAGGCTGAGACGGGCAGATTGCCTGAGCTGAGGCGTTCAAGACCAGCCTGGGTGAGATGGTAAAACCCTGTCTCTACTAAAATACAAAAAATCAGGCGGACATGGAGGCAGGCACTTGTAATCCCAGCTACTCAGGAGGCTGAGGCATGAGAATTGCTTGAATCCAGGAGGCGGAGGTTGCAGTGAGCCAAGATCGTGCCACTGCACTCCAGCCTGGACAACAAAGCGAAACTCTGTCTCAAAAAAAAAAAAAAAGGAATGAACGTTTTTGATGAAAGTATCCACCACAAGCTTAAAACACACACACACTAAGTACTTGAGACTGTCACAAGAAATATGCAAAATCTCCCCACAGAAAACCATACATTACTGAGATAAAGTAAAAAATATTTGAATGGAGGGACAGATGTCCAAGGGCTGGAAGACTCAATAATGCAAAGGTGGCCAGGTGCGGGTGGCTCACGCTTGTAATCCTAGCACTTTGGGAGGCCAAGGCAGGTGGATCACCTGAGGTCTGGAGTTCGAGACCAGCCTGGCCAACATGGTGAAACCCCATCTCTACTAAAAATAAAAAAAATTAGCCGGGTGTGGTGGCAGGCGCCTGTAATCCCAGCTACTCAGGAGACTGAGGCAGAAGAATCACTTGAACCCGGGAGGCAGAGGTTGCAGTGAGCTGAGATTGTGCCATTGCACTCCAGCCCGGGCAACAAGAGCGAAACTCCATCTCAAAATAATAATAATAATAATAATAATAATAATAATAATAATAATAATAATAATAATAATAATGCAAAGGTGTTAATTCTCTTAAGACTCAAAGTAATGCTAATAATCTCAGTAGGTATACTGTGACACCTGATAAGCTCATTCTAAAGTGGATCCAGAAATGCACAGGGTAAGAATTGCTAAGACACTCTTTTTTTCAGTTTTTTAAATATGGAACATTTCACAAAAGTGTGTCATCCTTGCACAGGTACCATGCTCATCTTCTCTACATCATTCCAGTTTTAGTGTATGTGCTGCCAAAGTGAGCATGTAAGATACTTTTGAAGAAGAAAACAAGATGGCAGGCTTTCTCTACAGATGTCAAGACTTATTATAAAACTATGGCAATTAAGACAGTGTGGTATAGGCACAAAGATAGAAAATAAATCAGTGAAATAAAACAGAGAACAGCAAAACAGATCCACCCATGTGTGGACAACTCAACTGATGACCCACGTGCCACCACAGAAGAGTGGGGCAAGGGCTGTCTCCTCCTTAGACAAGAACGGGACAGTAGGTTATCTTTCTTTAGAAACGAACCCGGGAACCCAGTCCCACACCATTCACAAAAACACATTCCAGGTGAATGGCAGACCTAAATGTGAACAGTAAAACAACAGCATTTTCCCAAATTAATGGAATAATGTTTTGATCTCAGCCAAGGGAAACAGTACTTAAAGAGAACATAAAAGCAAAAATCGGGCCAGGCATGGTGGCTCACAACTGTAATCCCAGCACTCTGGGAGGCCAAGGCAGGTGGATCACCTGAGGTCAGGAGTTCGAGACCAGCCTGGTCAACACAGTGAAACCCTGACTCTACTAAAAATACAAAAAATTAGCCAGGCCTGGTGGTGCACACCTGTACTCCCAGCTACTTGGGAGGCTGATGCGTAATAATTGTTTGATCCGGAAGGCAGAGGCTGCAGTGAGCCAAGATCACGCCACAGCACTCCAGCCTGTGCAAAAGAGTAAGACTCTGTCTCAAAAAAAAAAAAAAAAAAAAAAAAAAAAAAAAGCAAAAAGCAAAAATCATAAAAGAAAAGAAGGTGATTGATAGAACTTCTGTTCACTAAGCTACCATTAGTGGAAAGCCAGCCACAAAGAGGGAGAGAACTCTCGCAAGGTATTACTGACACAGGGCTGGGATCCAGAATATAATATAAAAAATTCCTATAAATGATCCTGTATTAGAAAAGGTGCAGCTGCTCTGCCTAGGGAGTAGCCATTCTTTTACTCCTTTGCTTTCTTAATAAACTTGCTTTCACTTTACTACACTGACTTGCCCTGAATTCTTTCTTGCACAAGGTCCAAGGAGCCTCTCTTGGGGTCTGGAATAGGATCCCTTTCTGGGAACATCTTCCCGGTGAATTCCAAAGGGACAATACTGAGGAGACCCCCGACCCAAAGGAGATAAGACCACAGCACCAATTGGCCGACTTTGGGTAAGTGGGGTGCATTTACCAGGGTAAAGGATGGAACTGGGTTAGAGTCCCAACTTAGGGGAGTCAGAGTTTCTCCTAAGACAGAGTGGGTTAAAGGCCCCTCTTAATAAAAGGCAAGGGCACTTGAACAAACCTGGGTTCGAGGCCCAACTTGGGAAGGTTAGAGACCTTCCTAAGATATAAGGGGTTAGAGGGTCCCCCTTCAGTAAAGTCCCTCGTGGCCAAGAATGGATCTGGCACTACAGAATGTTAACCACTATTCTCTCTGGATTCATCTGCCTTGCACTCTTTGCTGACGGCTTTGGGTGACAAGGTTAGGCATGTACAGGATCATGGAACATGGGAGCATTTTTTCTCCCCAAAAGGGGAAACTCCAGAGCTGACGGGACAGCTGGAAAAGATCCCTTCATTACTGACAAGCGGCTGCCTGAACTTTTGATTCAGCGTCGCCGCAATGGCTGGGTCTTTCTCCGGCCTCCCTGAGCTCCTCACCTTCCCCATACTGCCATAGGCAATGCTTTTCTCCCTTTCTCTTTTCCATCTTTTCTGTTACTCAGGGCAACTGCTCCTTCATCTTGCCCAGAGACCACATGTTGAAAAATGTCCTTGGGAGTTGACTTGTAACCACGCGGAGGTACTTTCTCTTGGTTTCCACCGAGTGAACAGGAATTTGAGGGTTCATATCATAGTTAGCTCTAAAGGTTATCTCGAGCAGTTAAAAGCCTTTGCAAGCTCAGAATTGGATGCTCTAGACTTCTTCTGGGAATAGTCCAAGTGCCCAATACTGTAGCTTATTGGCTAAAGTTTATTGTTTTCACCTGGGAGGTTACCTTTGGCCGTAAGGCCTGGCTGAAGTTGGGTAATAAGAGATTTAAAAGGAATTTTAAAAAAAAGCACTATGGGCCAGGTGCAGTGGCTCATACCTGTAATCCCAGCACTTTGGGTGGCTGAGGCGGGTGGATCACAAGATCAGGGGTTCAAGACCAGCCTGGCCAACATGGTGAAACCCCGTCTCTACTAAAAATACAAAAAAAAAAAAAAAAAAAAAAAAATTAGCCAGGCGCACGCCTGTAATCCTAGCTACTCAGGAGGTTGAGGCAGGAGAACTGCTTGAACCTGGGAGGCGGAGGTTGCAGTGAGCCAAGATCACGCCACTGCACTCCAGCCTGGGCGACAGAGCCAGACTCCATCTCAAAAAATAAATAAATAAATAAATAAGAAGCTAGGCATTGGTGGCTCACATCTATAATCCCAGCACTTTGGAAGGCCAAGGCGGGTGGATCACCTGAGGTCAGGAGTTTGAGACCAGCCTGATCAACATGGAGAAACCCCATCTCTACTAAAAATACAAAATTAGCTGGGCATGGTGGCACATGCCTGTAATCCCAGCTACTCGGGAGGCTGAGGCAGGAGAATCGCTTGAACCTGGGAGACAGAGGTTGCGGTGACCTGAGATCGCGCCATTACACTCCAGCCTGGGCAACAAGAGCAAGACTCCATCTCAAAAAAAAAATTTTTTTAAATTAATTAAAAAAATAAAAGAGCACTATGGTTAAAAGTCACCTTAAAAGCAGATATTCAAGGTCTAACAGCCTGGGACTCTTTGGGGGAAACAGAGGAGGAGCCACAGACCCCATTTTGGGAAGAACCTCTGTTTTCCTCATGAAACCCCAGGAATTTAAAATTTAAAATCTCAAAATCTAAGGCTCTGCTCTGTTTTGCAGCACTGTGTTATCTGACGGTTTTGATTTCACATGACGAGAGAGCTCTGGTGTAATAACTAGGGAGGAAATATACTTTGGGGGTAGCTAATGGCAGTTGTAGGGGAATACACACCTCTCTGCATGTTTGGATCAGAGAAGCATGCTCTTGGCCACCTAGAAGGTATGGAAATGTCCCCCAAGCCCCACTGAGAGATAACACTCCCATGGGGGATGGGCTGATTCCCTTTTTGAGGATCCAGTATCTGGTATAGAAATGAGAACTTTGATTTTTGGAATCTGCTTTGCCTTCCAGCTGCTTATTAGGCTCCAGAAACTGCATGTTTCCCTAGCCCTGTTTAGCAAAGAGCTCCACCCTGAAGCCAGTAATCCAGTTAAGAAACTTAGAAACTGGAAAATGGAAAATCTTACGTCTCCTGGATCTTCTGTCTATTTACATGTTATGTGTGTGATGTTTATATATGAAAGAGCTTTGATTAACTGGTTTAAAAATACTAAGACCTTAAACCAAATATCTTGTCAGAAAAATTAAAACTGTAATGCCTTTTAGTTCATGTGACTTAAGTAACCTTTGGGAAATAAAGACAGTTTTAAAGACTATTGGTAAAATAAAAATATCTTCAAAAATTTAGGCATTTGGTCTAAATTAGACAGGTCAGATATTAGGTTTGCTAAATGCTTTACGGTCATAAACTGCTTCTTCGGTTAACAATGTAACATGCACTTGAGACTATGGGACTATGGGAAAAGCAGTTCTACCTGCAAGTGTGAAATGTGCACGGAAAGTGAAATGTGTTTTTGGTAAAAAGATTGTAAGAAGTCATGGGAATGTGGATTTTTTTTTGCCTAGATTAAAGGGTTAAAGGATTATTTTCAGTTGGATAGAATAATGCTGAAGGTTTGAGCAAGTTGTGGAAGGTTTGTGAAAAATTAATCTTGTAAAAGAAATTGTGTGTGAACACACTGGCCTAAAGTTAAAGGGGTATTATTCAGTTTTTCCATAAATTGAATACTGGAATAAAAGCACAACAGTTTTCTTGGAGCATGAATCTGCTCTTTAACAAAAAGTGTAAAGGGTTATAAAAGGTTTATGAGAATCTTACCTTATGGTTGAATAGATTTGTCTACAAGGTTTTATTAAGAATTGGGTTTGACATCAATAATGCGCTAATGCAATGGTGAAATTTTGCTTTCTCCCTTGAGCAGGATTTTTATATTAAAAAAATAATGAAAGATGGCTGGGTGTAATGGCTCATGCCTGTAATCCCAGCAATTTGGGAGGCCAGGGCAGGCAGATCACTTGAGGTCAGGAGTTTGAGATAAGCCTGGCCAACATGGTGAAAACCGGTCTCTACTAAAAATACAAAAATTAGCCAGGCATGGTGGTGCACACCTGTAGTCCCAGCTACTCAGGAGGCTGGGGCAGAAGAATTGCTTGAACCCAGGAGGCGGAGGTTGCAGTGAGCCGAGATCACGCCACTGCACTTCAACCTGGGTGACAGAGTGAGACTCCGTCTCAGGAAAAAAAAAGAAAAGAAAACAAAGATTTTTGTTTGCCTTTTGAATAAACTATAGGAAAAAGAAGGGAAAGAAAGGAGACAGATTATTTGGAAAGCTAAGTCTTCCTTCTATTAATGAGTAAAGGATTTTGCCTTTTAAAAATTTTTGAGTTATCATTTTGGGTAAATGAATGACTTATGGTGACCTGGGATTCTATTTTGTAATATCAAGCGTTTAAACCTTTAATATTTGACAAACTTTCCAACATCATACTCTAAATTCTGCCTTTTCCTGACCTAATTAATCTTTTAGATATTAGGTCCTCTCAAGTCCAAAAAATGACATATTCAGCTTATTTGGTATAAAAATCACACAGCAAGCACTGTCAGATATGAAATGATGCGTGGCTTTCTTTGGGCTATATTTGTATAAATATGTTATTGGTTTGTGTTCCAAAATCGTGTGAAACTTCTATAACTCTGATATGACAGTACATGTTATTAATATAATTGGTATGTTAAATTGTTCCATGTCACAGAAGTAATCAAAATTCCTAGTCAATTGTGGCTTTTGTAGAGGCTGCCCTAAGGCATTCTGTCATCCATACAAAATTGTTGTCTTGTTTGGGTCCTCTTTAGAAGGTGGTTTTATAATCAACTAGAGAACTCTAACAGGTGTTTTTGAATGCAGGTTTCTGATAACTTTGGAGGTTGCGACATTAGAATAGAGGAAAAACTTTCAGGACTCTCATGGAGAGCCAAAATGTTCATGAATATCGAACAGGAGTTAACTGCATGAGCTGAACTAATAGGACTAACAGAACTAATAGAAGACAGAAGTAACTTGTTTTGACATGAGCTGAACTAATAGGACTAATAGAACCAGTAGAAAACAGAAGTAACTTGTTTTGACTTTTTGCTTAAATTGTTGCTGATTCTTTGTTTTGTTTTTCAGAGCCAAGAAAACTTCTCTTTTGAGCTATTTACAGCTTTTAACAATTGAGTAAAGTAGAGAGAAACAAGAGAGATGGGTAATGTAAAAATCTGGATCAGGCTGGGTGCGGTGGCTCATGCCTGTAATCCCAGCACTTGAGGAGGCCGAGATGGGTGTATCACAAGGTCAGGAGATCGAGACCGTCCTGGCTAACATGGTGAAACCCCGTCTCTACTAAAAATACAAAACATTAGCCGGGCGTGGTGGCGGGTGCCTGTAGTCCCAGCTACTTGGGAGGCTGAGGCAGGAGAATGGCGTGAACCCTGGAGGCGGAGCTTGCAGTGAGCCGAGATCGCACCACTGCACTCCAGCCTGAGCAGCAGAGCAAGACTCCATCTCAAAAAAAAAAAAAAAAAAAAAAAAAAAAAAAAAAAAATCTAGATCAATATTCTAATTCTGGGCACACTGGAATCAGCTAGCAATCCCATATCATCTTAGTTCCAACAGTTACCCAGTTCATGAAAATCCCTATTTAATTTACTTGGGATAATTTTACTTATTTTGTTTTACTGTTGTGGAATATATTGCTGTTGTACTCTGTGTAGGAATGCAGGATAAGCTTACTCAATGTTTTCTTAAACTGAACACTTATTAATCTTCCAGATACCAAATTTTCTTGGCGTTATGAATGGCCCTCACCATACTGATGCTTTCTGACTTAGCTCCTTTCTTTCTCAAATATAAAAGACCCTAATAGTTAGGCAGGAATGTCATCACTCCTGTTCAGCCTGAAGAAGTTATAGAAGATGAATCTTTGTCCCTCTACAACCTTTAGAATTAAGGCTTCTCTCATAAAACAGAGAGGGGAAATATGTCAGAGGCGTTTAAACCAGAGCAACTCCATCTTGAATAGGGGCTAGGTAAAATAAGGCTGAGATCTGCTGGGCTGCACCCCCAGAAGTTAGGCATTCTAAGTCACAGGATGAGATAGGAGGTCGGCACAAGATACAGGTCATAAAGACCTTACTGATAAAACAGCATGTGTGGTGAAGAAGCTGGCCAAGTCCCCGCAAATGAAGATGGCAATGTAAGTGACCTCTGGTTGAACTCACTGCTCATTATATACTACTTACAATGATTGGCATGCTAAAAGACACTCCCACCAGTGCCATGACAGTTTACAGCAGCCATGGCAACGTCAGGAAGTTATCCTAGATGGTCTAAAATGGGAGGAACCCTCAGTTCCAGAAACTGCCCACCCCTTTCCCAGAAAATTTATGAATAATCCACCCCTTGTTTAGCATATAGTCAAGAAATAACTCTAAGTATTCTTAGTCCAGCAGCCCAAGCTGCTGGTCTGCCTATGGAGTAGCCATTCTTTTATTCCTTTGCTTTCTTAATAAACTTGTTTTCATTTTATTTACATATACTTCTTGAGACAGGGTCTCGCTCTGTCACTTAGGCTGCAGTGCAGCGGTGCAATCTTGGCTCACTGTAACCTCCACCTCCTGGGTTCAAGCAATTCTCATGCCTCAGCCTCCCGAGTAGCTGGGACTATAGGCGCATGCCACCACACCCGGCTGATTTTTGTATTTTTAGTAGAGACAGGCTTTTGCCATGTTGGCCAGGCTGGTCTCAAACTCCTAGCCTCAAGTGATTCACCCATCTCAGCCTCCCAAAGTGCTGGGAGTATAGATGTAAGCCACCGTGCCCAGCCGTTCACTACAGAAAAAATGTGTAAAAGATTCAAGGGGTACTTAACAAAAGAGCAAGTTAAAATGACAGGAAAGATCTCAATCTATTTAGTTATCAGTAAAATGCACATTAAAACCACAATGAAATACCACCATATTCTCACGAGAGTAGCTAAAATTCATAAGCCTGACAATACCAAGTGCTGATAATGATGGGGAGCAGGTAGGGCCCACCCACACTGATGGGCCAAGGGTGAACTGGAGAACGGTGATGCCATCTCAGCAATGTGAAGGTGCCCATAACCCTAGACCTAGTACTTCCACTCCTAAGTACTCAACCTTCAGAAACATATGCTTAGCTACCACGTGGCACACACCAGAATCTTCCTGGGAGCACTGTTTCTAGTAGCTAAAACTGGATACAGCCCATGTATTCCAGCAACAGCATAATGCTTAAGTAAATTCTGATATATTCATTCCTCAACAGAAATAAATGAATTACAACTACCCGCAATAACATGGATGAATTTTAAAAGCACAATGGTGGAAGACTCTGCTTCCGAGTAGGAGAGGGTACTGGTGGCAGACCAGCACTCCTGCCTAAGATGAGTTTAAAAACTGAATAAAATGCAGAAATGATCTTTTGGAGGCAGCAAGTTGCTGCTCAGCAAAGACAACTAGAGGAGTTAAGATTCCAGAGAGGGAAAACCCTCCGGAAAGTGAGCTGAGCTGCAGCTGTCTTTACGCTGTCCATGTTCAGGGATTCCAGCCCCCACGGGGGGCTGAGTATCCACCTGGAGCAGTCCCACCAGGACATGAAGAAACCTGCAGAGCTTTTGGTAGAGGCTAGGAGTCTCGAGAGCACAGCCACCTCCTGCAGGACATGTGCTGAATCCTCTGGCTGTGTGCAGCAGGAGACCAAGAGCCCATGTGGAAAACCTCTGAAAAGCAGAATGGGGTTGTTAAGAAGCCACGAGGAGACCAACGCCACGGCTGGGAAGCCATCAGAGGAAAGAGACACATGGACACACCAGGCACTGGCAGAAAGCCCAGGAGAGCCAGAGGAGAGCAAAGGCCGGCTGGGCCAGGCATGACTGGACTGCAGCGACCAGCCAGCCACTACTCTACTTGGAGGGGAAAGAGGTTTCTCTTAAGGAAGATGGCATTGTCTGGACCTGCCATAATGTTTTTATACACAACATACAATATTCAATCAAAAAGGCCAGGCATGGTGGCTCACGCCTGTAATCCAGCACTTTGGGAGGCTGAGGCAGGCAGGTCACTTGAGCCCAGGAGTTCAAGACCAGCCTGGACAACACAGTGAAACCCCATCTCTATAAAAAAAAGAAAATAAGAAAGAAAGAAAAAATTAGCTGGGCGTAGTGCTGTGCACCTGTAGTCCCAGCTACTCAGGAGGCTGTGGTGGGAGGACCTCTTGAGCCCAAGAAGTCAAGGCTGCAGTGAGTTGTGATCACCACTGCACTCCAGTGTGGGCAACAGAGCAAGACTCTGTCTCAAAAAAAAAAAAAAAAAAAAAAAAAAAGAGAGAGAAAACACAGACAAGAGCAACAGACCCAAAGGTGATACAGATATTGGTGTTAGCTAACAAAGACTTTCATTTACAATAATTAATGTGTGTATTCAAGGCAGCAGAAGCAAAGATTAGGAAAGTGTATGGAATAATGAGAAATTTTTCCAGAGTATTAGAATAGTAACTATAATAAAGAAATGAAAATTCTAAACTGAAAAGGCAATATCTAAAATAAGGAACTCATCAGGATTTCACAGCAGATTAGAAATTTCAGGGCCAAGAGCGGTGGCTCATGGCTGTAATCCCAGCACTTTGGGAGGCCGAGGCAGGTGGATCATGACGTCAGGAGATCGAGACCATCCTGGCTAACACAGTGAAACCCTGTCTCTACTAAAAACACAAAAAAATTAGCTGGGTGCGGTGGCAGGCGCCTATAGTCCCAGCTATTCAGGAGGCTGAGGCAGGAAAATGGCGTGAACCCAGGAGGCGGAGCTTGCAGTGAGCTGACATCGCACCACTTGCACTCCAGCCTGGGCGACAGAGCCAGACTCCATCTCAAAAAAAAAAAAAAAAAAAAAGAAATTTCAGAAGACAAGATTAAAGAATTTGAATAAAGGAAAATAGAAAATATACAAATTGAAGTATATATAAGAAAGAATGCAAAATATAAAAAAGAACATTAAAAATGTAGGACTCAGGGAAAAAGTATAAGTGTAACTGGAGTCCCAGAAGGAGAGAAGAAAAAAAGTGAGGAAGAAGCAATATAGTAAGAGAAGATGGCTGTAATTTTTCTCAAACAGATGAAAGACACCATTCTACAGATTCAAGAAGCCCTGTGGACATCTTGAAAATTTCAAAGAACATCACAGGAAATTTTCAAAGAACATCACCTCTAAATGTCATAGTAAGACGGCTGCAATTCAAATAAAAAGAACACTTTTTAAGCGGCCATACACATTACTGTCAATAGAGCAACAATGGTCTGGCATCTTCTCAAAAGCCTATAAACAATATCTTTGCATTGCTGAAAGAAGATAAACCACCACGAAATATAACCTTCAAAAATGAAGTTGCCAGCAAAGCTACAGTATAACGAACATACAGGAAGTTCTACAGGCCAGAAGGAAATGATTACCCAGGAAAATACAGAATCTCAGGAAGGAATGTATATAGTAAAAGAAAGAATAAAAATGTATGGTTGATTAAAACAACAAACAAACAAAAAACAATGGGCCGGGCATGGGAGCTCACGCCTGTAATCCCAGCACTTTGGGAGGGAGGCCGGCAGACTGCTTGAGCTCAGGAGTTTGAGACCAGCCCAGGCCACATGGCGAGACCTCGACTACACTAAAAATACAAAAAAGTAGCCAAGCATGATGGTGTGTGCCTGTGGTCCCAGGTAAAAGGGAGGCTGAGGTGGGAGGATCACCTGAGCCTGGGGGGTGGAGCTTGCAGTGAGCCGAGATCACGCCCTTGCACTCCAGCCTGGGTGACCGAACACAACCTTGTCTCAAAAAAATAAATAAATACACACAATGGTAGTAATATCTTACACTTTGTAAATAAATGCAGACTTAAACTGCAAGCCAAGGAGAATATATAAAAAAAAAAAAAGAGGAAGTGTGTCACAGGCTGGGTTCTTCACAAAGCAGACGCTGAGAAAGGCTCAGGCATGCAAAAGGATTACTAAAGAATAAAAATCTGTGATAGGAAAAGACAGGTAGCAAGATTGGGCAGGAGGAGCTGTCAAGCCACAATGTAGAACTGACAGTCTCCACAAGCCCAATGCTGTTTTTAAGGAAAGTCCATGCTAACAGAAAATAGGCCCTTGTCCCACTGCCTTACTTGGCCATTGGCCAGGGACTGCTCTGCCAATAGCATGACCTAGATTTGAACGCTGGTTTAACAGTTGAGGCTGTGAGCTAGGCATACTCATCAAAGGCTGGCAATGGGCTCCTTTCTTAAAGAATTACAGATCAATTTTTCTAATGAAAACAGACGTAAAAATCCTAAACAACTTATTGGCAAATTAAATCTGGGTGTATATTTAAAAGGGTAAGATATTATGGCCAAGTGGGATTTATTCTACAAATGAACGGCTGCTTTACATTAGAAAATTAATCAAAATAATTCACCAAATTAATGAAGGAGGAAAATCATATGATCTTCTTTCTAGCAGCAGAAAAAGCATTTGACAAAATTCAATCCCAACTCATGATAACAACTTTTAACAAACAAGGAGAAGGGAACGTTCTTAATCTGACAGTTTCTACCAACAAACAAGCAAACAAAACTACAGAACACATCATACTTAATTACCACAGGCTTTTCCTCAGATGGAAAAACAGGCAAGAATGCCCACTCTTCAACATTGTTCTATTTCACACTGTACTGGAGGTTCTAGCTTGTGCAAAAAAAAAAAAACCAAAAAAAAAAAAAAAAAAAAAAAGAATAAAAGTTTAAGTATTGGAAAGGACAAAATAACACTATCATTATTCACCAATAATGTGATTTTTGTAGACAGGTAATACAAAAGATATATAGACAAACTTCTAATTATGAGTAAACAAAGAACTAATAAGTTAACTTAGTGAGATAACTGGATACAAAGTCATCATTTTTTTTTTTTTTGAGATGGAGTCTTGCTCTGTCGCCCAGGCTGGAGTGCAGTGGTGCGATCTCAGCTCACTGCAAGCTCCGCCTCCTGGGTTCATGCCGTTCTCCTGCCTCAGCCTGCCAAGTAGCTGGGACTACAGGCGCCCACCACCACGCCCGGCTAATTTTTGTATTTTTTTTAGTAGAGACGGGGTTTCACCGCGTTAGCCAGGAAAGTCTTGATCTCCTGACCTCATGATCCGCCTGCCTCGGCCTCCCAAAGTGCTGGGATTACAGGTGTGAGCCACCGCGCCCAGCACAAAGTCATCATTTTAAAATAATAATAATATAGATTGCAATTCTATATATAAGCAACAAATCAGTAGAGAAAATTACAAATTACAGCACTTGTAACAGGAATAAATCTAATAAAAGGTGCTCAAGACTTCTGTATTCCAAAGTATAAAAACATTACTGACAGAAATTGAAGCAGGCCTTTAAAAAGGGGAAAATATTCCACAATCATAAACTGGAAGATTCCATAATTGTAATACAGGTTGAGTATCCCTTATCCGAAATGCTTGAGATTAGAAGTGTTTGGGATTTCAATTTTTTTTTAGATTTTGGAATATTTGCATTATATTTATTTCCCAGTTGAGCATCGCATCACAAGTCCAAAAATCAGAAATCCAAAATGCTCCAATGAGCATTTTCTTTGAGCATCATGTCAGCTTCAAGCAGTTTCAGATTTTAGAGCATTTTGGATTTTGGATTTTCATATTTGGGATGCTCTCAACCTATAAAACATTAATTCTACTCAAATTGAACTAGAGATTCAATGCAATGCCAATCAATATCCCAGTAGTAATTTTTATGGAAATTGACAAGTTAATTCTAAAGTTTACTTGGAAATACAAAGAGCCAAGAAGAGTCAAGGCAATCTTGAGGAACCATCACAGAGCAAGAGGACTCCTAATGCTACAGTGATTCAGAGCATGGAGAGACAACAGACTGACAACACCCCCCGCCAACAGGAGCCCAGAAACAGACCCGCAAGTACATTTTTCACCCACTATATAACAAAGTAACACTGCAGTACTTTGGGGAAAGGATTGCCTTTTCAATAAATGATACTGAGTCAGTTAGATACTCATAAGAAAATGACTCCAACTTTATACCAACAATATACAACTTTACTCCAACAATATACAAAATTAAATTCTAAATGGATCATCACACCTAAATGTGAAAAGTAAAACAATAAAGGTTTTAGAAGAGCATGCAGGAAAATATCTTTGTGACCTTAAGTTTGGTAAAAAATTTCTAAATTAGACAAAAACTTAGCTACAATACAGGAAAAAAAAACAACATGTAAGTTAGATTACATTAAGACTTTTCATTCATTAAAAGCCATAATTAAAAGTGTTAAAAGGCAATCCAAATAGTGAGGAGACATTTGCAAAACATGCATCTCAGGAAAGATGCCTATCTGAAACATACAAAGAAATAAGAGGCCAGGTGCAGTGGCTCACACTTGTAATCCCAGCACTTTGAGAGGCTAAGATGGGAGGACTGCCTTAGCCAGGAGTTCGATATCAGCCTGGGCAACATAGGGAGACCCCCCATTTCTACAAAAAAAAAGTTTTTTTTGTTTTGTTTGTTTTTTTTTTTAAATTAGCTGGGTGTGGTGATGTGAGCCTATGGTCCCAGCTACTCAGGAGGCTGAGGCAGGAGCATCTCGAGCCCAGGAGGTCAAGGCAGCAGTGAGCTATGATTGCACCACTGCACTCTAGCCTGAGTGACAGAGTGAAACCTTTTCTCAGAAAAAAAATAAAAAAGAAAGATGAAAGCATTAGCAAACAGAGAAATGAGCCAAATATTTGAATAGTACATAAATGTGGATATTCAAACAACCAATAAGCATATGAAAAGCATAATTTGTCACCAGGCAAATGCAAATTAGCCTGTGCTACAACACACCTACAACAAAGACTATAATGAAATAAACAATATCAAAAGCTGGTGAGAAAAGAGATAACTGGAACCCCTCACATACTCACTGCCTGTGGGAGTGAAAACTGCTGCACTGCCTTTGGAAAACTGTTTGGCAGTATGTCCTAATGCTGAACAATTCTGCTTCTGCATTTATACCTAGCACAAATGCCTACATATTCTCACCAAGAAACTCACATAAGCATGTCCCTAACAGCACTATACACAATAGCCCCAAAGTGGAAACCACCCAAATGTCCATCTACTTAAGAGTGTGTAAGTAAGTTCCAGTATATTCACACGATAAAATAATACCATCAATGAGAATAAACTAAAAGAACACTTGTTTAAAGGCAGGTAAAGCCAACAGTGTGGGCAGTCAGGACAGTAGTTACCCTTTGCGTGTGGAAGGGGTGTGAGGGGCTTTGAACCTAGCAACACTTCTGCTTGGAGTGCTGATTACAGGACCATATTCACTCTGTGAATTCATCAGGTTGTATATATGCTTACTATTTGTGTTACAAAAAAAACATAGTATGGAACCAAAAGATGTCAAACACACAGAAATACATACTGCCTGATTCCCCTTATACAAAGTTGAAAATAAGACGAAACTAAACTACACTGTTCAGAATGCATACATAGAACGCTCCAAACACTTGAACCCAGAGCAATGGCAGTCACCATGCATCAGTGAGTGGTCCCCTCCGGTGGGATGGGTACCTGGTATAGGTCAATGTTCTATTTATCTGCCAGCTGTGCTGGTTTCTCAGGAATATTTATCAAGCTGTATGTCTATGCTGTGTTATGTGTGTGACATTCTACAGCTAACCCAGAAGCACAACTGCTTTCTGTTAACACTTGCCATAGGTGAGAGTGTAGACGGCTTTCCCAGTTGTATCCAAGGCAGTCAGACAGGGGGATTTGGGCTGTGTTGTGCCCCAGCGCTGCAAGGTGGCCAACAGCGACGGCGGTCGGGGGACACCTGCAGTGAGAGGCTCCCCTCTCAGCACACTCGTCTCGCTTCCCTCAGGCTTTGGCTGATTTGGATCTGGTTGCTGAACTACAAGCAAAATCAAAACTTTAAAATCAGCAATTCAGAGCACCACGAACACATTCTGTTTTTAAGCATTCATAGTTTATAATATTGTTTTTTAATCCCAACTATAAAAAAGCTTACAATAATTTGTTTCGATTTTTGCATCACAGTCACCGACAACTAACCAAAGGATTAAAGGAGCTTTAGTCATGGATGATGACGGCTGTGAAATAAAGTTAAAAACAACCCACCATCCTGGTGACCACAACCTCACAGACAAAGGTGACCTTGGAGTGGTTCCCACTTTCCCAACTTCTGGACAGGACTGTGGCACCTCTGCTACCCCCGGCACCACAGCGGTGAACAGCCAGGTATCCACAGCCTGGAGATAGGACCTGGTGGCCCACTCACACAGGAGGAAAGCAAGCAGAACCACCACTTCAGCCTAGGGATCCAAACAACTATCACTATGTTCAAAGAAAAAGAATTAAAAGATTATTTGATTATAGGCTGGGCGTGGTGGCTCATGCCTGTAATCCCAGCACTTTGGGAGGCCGAGGCGGGTGGATCATGAGGTCAGGAGATCGAGACCATCCTGGTTAACATGGTGAAACCCTGTCTCTACTAAAAATACAAAAAAAAATTAGCCAGGTGTGGTGGTGGACGCCTGTAGTACCAGCTACTCGGGAGGCTGAGGCAGGAGAATGGCGTGAACTCAGGAGGTGGAGCTTGAAGTGATTCGAGATCGCACCACTGCACTCCAGCCTGGGCGACAGAGTGAGACTCTGCCTCAAAAAAAAAAAAAAAAAAAAAGATTATTTGATTATATAGCTCCTGGAAAAAGATTACTTTAATCTTGTTTTTTACTTTAAAAAGAATTAATCTTTTTCTAGGAGCTGTATAACCAAAATTTGCCCAAGTGGTAAGAAACACTGCTCTAAGATGCATTCATACCAATAAACTCTGAATTTGAAAGGCACTGTGTGATGGCTAATATTGATGTCAACTTGATGGGATTGAAGGATGCAAAGTATTCTTCCTGGGTGTGTCTGTGAGGGTGTTGCCAAAGGAGATTAACGTTTGAGTCAGTGGACTGGGAAAGGCAGACCCACCCTAAATCTGGGTGGGCACAGTTTAATCAGCTGCCAGCACGGCCAGAATAAAGCAGGCAGAAGAACGTGGAAAGACTAGACTGGCCTAGCCTCCCAGCCTACACCTTTCTCCTGTGCTGGATGCTTCCTGCCCTAGAACATTGGATTCCAAGTACTTCAGCACTGGGACTCAGACTGGCTTCCTTGCTCTCAGCTTGCAGATGGCTTACTGTGGGACCTCACCTTGTGATCGTGTGAGTCAATATGCCTTAATGAACTTCCCTTTATATGTATACATCTATCCTATTAGTTCCGTCCCTCTAGAGAACCCTGACTAATACACACTATCTGATTACAACGGGGAAATAATCTCCTGAAAGCTATGTCTAATCCTCGGGTGTGGAGGAGACTCTGGGCTGGTCGGCTGTCAGCAGTGTCACTGTACAAACAGCCAAGGTCTGCGAGTAGGACCAGCATGGGGCCCCTGTGGCCCTAACGACACACTCACATGTTTGTACTGGCTTCATTTCTGGTTTCTGCTTGCTAGTTTTCTCTTTTAAAAAATATGTGTGTATTCTTCCTAAATACGTATTTCATTCACATATGAGAGGCTAAAATTCTGAAAAGCAGCCAAATCTATGCTGAAAATTAAATACTTTAAAACCACAAGAAGGTAAGTATTTCAGAGTTAAAGTTTAAATTAAACATTTAAATAATGTAAGTTAAATAAAACCGTAGAAGAATTTTTATGAAATGCCAAGTCACTTGAATATGAGCAGCAAATTTTCTACCTGCTCAAATAAAGGAAGCAGTCATGTGATTCTAAATTCACCATTACACCCAGTGACCACTGAGTCTGGAAACAGAATATATATAGCAATATCCATGTATAATATACATTTGCCTGTGTTTCTCAACTTCGTGGCCACCCTTTTCATACAAACAGAAAAGCTCAAAGTTGGACAACTCTTACCTTCCAACAATTCCTCAAAATCATCCACAAAGAACTCCTTCAGTGGAGGGCGCTTTGGCCTCTTCAGGGTGTTCAGAAGCTGCTGGATTTTGGAGGACACTCTGCTGTTCACAGGGACACCTGTCACGGGAAGGACAGAGGAGCACTGAGGCCAGGACACATCTGAAGAAGTGGACACAGGTGTAAGGTCCAAGGACAAACCACACGATGCATCAGAGCTTACAAATCCATCCAAGTGTGGGCCCCACTGGACAGTCATTTTGGAATCAATTCATTTAGAAAACACTTACTGAATGCCTTCCAGGAAACAGGACTTGTTCTAAGCTAGCAGGTTTTTTTTTGTTTTTGTTTTTTTGCTTTAGACGGAGACTCACTCTGTTGCCAGGCTAGAGTGCAGTGGCATGATCTCAGCTCACTGCAATCTCCGCCTCCTGGGTTCAAGCGATTCTCTTGCCTCAGCCTCCCAAGTAGCTGAGTCTACAGGCATGCGCCACCACACCTGGCTAATTTGTATTTTTAGTAGAGATGGGGTTTCACCATGTTGGCCAGGATGGTATCGATCTCTTCACCTCGTGATCCACCTGCCTTGGCCTCCCAAACTGCTGGGATCACAGGCGTGTGCCACCGCGCCCGGCCTAAGCAGTTTTTTAAATGGTCCAGGGACCCCTGGGGCATCCAAGTCCCTTTCAGGAAGTTTATGAGGTCACGACTATTCCATGGTAATGTTAAGAAGTCATGGCCCTGTAATCCCAGCACTTTGGGAGGCTGAGGCAGGTGGATCACGAGGTCAGGAGATCGAGACCATCCTGGCTAACACAGTGAAACCCCATCTTTACTAAAAATACAAAAAATTAGCCGGGTGTGGTGGCGGGCGCCTGTAGTCCCAGCTACTCGGGAGGCTGAGGCAGGAGAATGGCATGAACCCGGGAGGCGGAGCTTGCAGTGAGCCGAGATTGCGCCACTGCACTCCAGCCTTGGTGAAAGAGGGAGACTTCTTCTCAAAAAAAAAAAAAAAAAAAAAAAGTCATTGGCCAGCCAGGAGCAGTGGCTCACAGCTGTAATCCCAGCACTTTGGTTAGCTAAGGCAGGAGAGGATCGCTTGAGGCCAGAAGTTTAAGACTAGCCTGGTCAACACAGCAAGACCCTGTCTCTACAAAAAATTTAAAAAATAAAAAATTATCTGGATGTGGTGGCTTGTGCCTGCAGTCCCTGCTCCTTGGGAGGCTGAGAAGGAAGGATTGCTTGAGTCCAGAAGTTTCAGGCTACAGTGAGCCATGATCATGTCAGTGAACTCCAGCCTGGGCAACAGAGTCACTATTTAAAAAAAAAAAAAATGGGGGGCTGGGCACAGTGGCTCACCCCTGTAATCCCAGCACATTGGGGTTCTGAGGTGGGCAGATCACTTGAGTTCTAGACTAGCCTGGCCAACAGGTCAAAATCCCATCTCTACTAAAAAATACAAAAATTAGCCAAGCTTGCTGGTATGCACCTGTAGTAAAGAAAAAAAAATTAGCCAAGTGTGGTGGCAGTTGCCTGGAGTTCCAGCTACTTGGGAGGCTAAGGCAGGAGAATCGCTTGACACCAGAAGGCAGAGGCTGCGGTGAGCCAAAATCAAGCCACTGCACTCCATCCTGGGTGACAGAGCAAGACTTTGTCTTAAAAAAAAAAAAAAAAAAAAAAAAAAGAACAGAAAATTAAAAAAAAAAAGCAGAGTTGGAGGACTCAAACTGTATAATTTCAAGAATTTTAAGAAAATCACAGTGGTCATGGCTATACGAGGTGTAAGGACAGATAAATAAGGAAACGGAACAACACACAGAGCCCAGAGCCCAGAAATAGACCCTTCCCTCTCCAACATGGTCTACCGATTTTCATTAAAGATGCCAAGGAAACTTGGTGGGAAAAGAATGGTCTTTATTATAAATGATGCTAGAACAACTGAATACCCACATACAAAAATGTAAACTTTGATTCATACCTGATACTTAGGCTAAAATTAACTCAAAATGAACTATCTACCTAAATGTAAAAACTAAAACTATAAAATTCTGGAAGAAAATATAGGAGAAAACATTTGTGACCTTGGGTTAGACAAAAATTTCTTAGATATGACACAAAAGCACAATATATAAAAAAATTTGGTAAACTGAATGTCATAAAAATGTAAACCATCTGCTCTTTGAAAGGCATTGTTAAAGCAAGCCAGACTGGGAGAAAATACAAATGATAAACCTCATATGGGATGACTTGTATCTAGAATATATAAACAGCCCTCAAAACTCAATAAGAAAACAAGCACAATTTGGCTGGCCACAGTGGCTCACACTGTAATCCCAGCACTTTGGGAAGCCAAGGCAGGCAGAGACGAGGAGTTCAAGACCAGCCTGGTCTCTACTAAAAAGACAAAAATTAGCCAGGCATCGTGGCACATGCCTGTAATCCCAGCTACTCACGAGACTGAGGCAGGAGAATTGCTTGAACCTGGGAGGTGGATGTTGCAGTGAGCCAAGATCGCACCACTGCACTCTGCCTGGGTGACAGTGAAACTCCGTCTCAAAAAAAAAAAAAAAAAGAGAAGAAAGAAAGAAAAGAAAGAAAAGAAAAGAAAGAAAGAAAGAAAGAAAGAAAGAAAGAAAGAAAGAAAGAAAGAAAAACAAGCACAATTAAAAAAAAAAATAGGCCAAAAGTATGAACAGATACTTTCCCTCAAGAGATACACAGATGGCAAATAGGTGCATAAAAAGATGTTCAACACACCATCAGCCGTTAGGGAAATGCAAATTGAAACTGTAATGAGATATCTCTACATGCCTATTGGGATGGCTGAAATTTTTTAAACATAATACCAACTGTTGGAAAGGGTGTGGAGGAACTGATACTCTCACTACTAATAATGAGAATGTAAAATGGTACAATCACTTTGGAAAACAGCGTGGCAGTTTCTTAAAAAGTTAAAATAGGCTGGGTATGGTGGCTCACACCTATAATCCCAGTACTTTAGGTGGCCAAGGCAGGTGGATCACTTGAGGCCAGGAGTTTGAGACCAGCCTGGACAACATGGTGAAATCCCATCTCTACTGAAAATGCAAAAATTAACTGGGCGTGGTGGCACATGCCTGTAATCCCAGCTACTTGGGAGGGTGAGGCAGGAGAATCGCTTGAACCCAGGATGGCGAGGTTTCAGTGAGCCAAGATCATGCCACTGCACTCTAGCCTGGGCAACAGAGTGAGACTCAGTCTCCAAAAAAAAAGGTGAAATACACCTACAATATAATTCAGCCATTCTACTTCTAGGTATTGACCCAAAAGAAATGAAAGTACCCATCTATGCAAAAACGTATACAAGATTGATTATTCATAGCAGCTTTACTTGTAACCGGCCCAAACTAGAAACAACCTAAATACACATCAACAGGTGAACAGCCAAATTGTGGTGCATCCATTTAATGAAATATTACTCAATGAGAAGGAGTAAACTATTGATACAGAACATGAATGAATCTCAAAATAATTATGGAGAGTGGTAGAAGGCAGACCATAAACGTAAACGCTGTATGATTCCTTTTATATAAAATTCTAGAAAATGCAATCTAATCTATAGTGACAGAAAGTAAATCGGTGGCTGCCTGAAGTGTATGGGGAAAGCCAGAAGGATCCGAAGAGAGGAGGACCAAGGAACACAAGGACACTTTTGGGCGTGCTGGATATGGTCACTATCTTGATTGTAGTGATGCTTTCCACAGCTGTACAAATGTCTTAAAACTTTTGAGAAAGGAGTCTCACTCTATCGCCCAGGCTGGAGTGAAGTGACACAATCTTGGCTCACTGCAACCTCCGCCTCTCGGGTTCAAGCGATTCTCCTGCCTCAGTCTCCCGAGTAGCTGGGACTATAGACGCCCGCCACCACACTCGGCTAATTTTTTTGTATTTTTAGTAGAGATGGGGTTTCACCACGTTAGCCAGGATGGTCTCGATCTCCTGACCTAGTGATCTGCCCGCCTCAGCCTCCCAAAGTGCTGGGATTACAGGTGTGAGCCACCGCGCCCAGCCGAAACTGTACACTTTAAATATGTGCAATTCATTATGTCAATTACCCTTTAATTAAGCTCTTAATTTTTTTAAATATAAAGAGTAATAAATTGAATTAAATACATGTCTAGCCAATGTACAGACTGCTTCATGTTGATTCAGTATTTTTCTTCTGCCTCTGGACAAGGAGATGAAAGCCCTCAACAAAATCTGACACTCTGTTTGGGAGTACCAACATATATGATAGGCCCTAGCTCTGAGCTCCTCTTAATTTTTATTTAAATTATTATTTTGGGAAAAAAATTGACATGATTTTGATAAAAGACATTGAAGACTGTTTCAAAAAGAAATGGTGTAAATGAGGACATTATGAAAGTTACACTGACATCTCTGAGCCTGCACATGGGAAACCATGATTGCTGTTGCACCGATTTCACAGTCTGCTGAAGATGGAGAGTGTAGGGGGCTGTTCTGTCATAGGTGGGTGTGTGCACTCGCACTGACTAAGTCATTCTGTCTGCCACATTGAATCTAAATAAAGAAACTTCCCACAGCTTCTCATTTCCCTACTATATTGCAGATCGAAACGCCCTTTGCATCCTATCTAAATTTGGAAGTCTTTTCCCTCCCCACTCTCCTCGTTTCCCCTCTGACCAATTCCATTGATATTTCCAATTATTTCTCCACATGATGCTTTCTATAACATTAACTGCACACACTGGTTTCTATTTATCTGCATGGATTAAAACTGACGTTTGGCTTGGGTTTGCTACAGTGAATACATTAAAGCTGTGTTCAATACCCAAAGACAAAACCTGTGTTCTGCTATTTCACGAGGAGAAAGAGAGGCAGGCTCACCATCTGCTGTTTCCAGCATGCTCCCGCTGCACCCCCGAGGAACACTTCTCACAGAAGCCACCTGTGGACGCTCAAAGTACGAATGCTCCACGAGGCCCGTGGTGACATCAGGAGGGGCAGAATGCAGATCTGCTTTTGAAAAACACACCCAAAATGAAAGTGGCTGTTAAGTCAAATGAGTATTAAGCTGCTCTTGAAACCCCGTTAGTCTAAAGCTCCACTAGCTGAGTTCTAAGTGGGGAGAGTGTGGTATTTTCATTAATTTGTTTTCTTGGCTGACCAAAGGCATACTGGGACCCTATGAACTCCCAGACACGTTATGCAGACATCTGCGTGCATGTGGGTGGCTCAATTCTCAAAGGGATCCAGACTCAGAACCACCATCTTCAGCACAGAGGCAGGCACAGAGTAAACCTGCCTGTCACAATGGCCTGATGAGATTTTGGTTAGAAATTCCCTCAAGGGGCTGGGCATGGTGGCTGACACCTGTAATCCCTGCACTTGGGGAGGCTGACATAGGCAGATCACCTGAGGTCAGGGGTTCGAGACCAGCCTGGCCAACATGGCGAAACCCCGTCTCTACTAAAAATACAAAAATCAGCCGGGCGTCGTGGCACATGCCTGTAATCCCAGCTACTGGGGAGGCTGAGGCAGGAGAATCACTTGAACCCAGGAGGCGGAGGTTGCAGTGAGCTGAGATTGCACCACTGCACTCTAACTTGGGCAACAGAGCGACACTCTCTCTCAAAAAGAAAAAAGAAAGAAAGAAGGAAGGAAGGAAGGAAAGAGAAAGAAGAAAGAAAGAAAAGAAAGAAAGAAAGAAAAAGAAAGAAAGAAAAAGAAAGAAAGAAAGGAAAGAAAGAAAGAAAGAAAGAAAGGAAGGAAGGAAGGAAGGAAGGAAGGAAGGAAGGAAGGAAGAAATTCCCTCAAGGAAGCAGAAACAAATTTGAAATCAATTGTCACTGGTACATTTTTTTGTTACATTATGAAAAAAACAGCCAGGATCATACAAACTACTACAACCCCCAAAAAAGTATGTTGGACACCAAACCTTTGCAGTCCTAAAAGAATAAAACTACAGAAATTAAAACTTCCCCCACTGCCAGTTAAAACAGCTGCAAAACTAAGAGACCACAATCAAGTTCCTTTTTTTTTTTTTTTTTTGAGATGGAGTCTCACTTTATCACTGCCCAGACTGGAGTGCAGTGGCACAATCTTGGCTCACTGCAACCTCTGCCTCCTGAGTTCAAGCAATTCTCCTGTCTCAGTCCCCCAAGTAGCTGGGATTACAGGCATGTGCCACCACACCCAGCCAATTTTTGTATTTTTAGTAGAGACGGGTTTTCACCATATTGGCCAAGCTGGTCTTGAACTCCTGGACTCAAGTGATCCAACCACCTCGGCCTCCTGAAGTGCTGGGATTACAGGTGTGATCCACCGCGCCTGGCCACAATCAAGTTCTTAAAGTAGAATTGGTGTAACATTTAAAAACAGACATTAGATCTGGAACATATGTAAAAGTCACTCCTTCCATTGTCTGAATGTACATTTTTGTGTTTTATTTCCATGGTACAGTCCATCTATCTGTTCAGAATGCTGGCTGACTGTAAGTTCCTATAGGAATTATGGTTATAATTGGGTCTACCACTAGGAAAGGCACTGTGTCTATATGACTATAGAAATTGTGTTCTACCACAACAATGAATACACAGATGCTCGCCCATTTATAAGAATCAACATAGGGGCCAACATGGTAGCTCACACCTGTAATCCCAGCAATTTGGAAGGTCAAGGCGGGCAGATCAGCTGAGGTCAGGAGTTCGAGAATGGCCTGGCCAACACGGTGAAACCCTGTCTCTACTAAAAATACAAAAATTATCCAGGCGTGGTGGTGCATGCCTGTAATCCCAGCTACTCGGGAGGCTGAGGCAGGAGAATCGCTTGAACCCGGGAGGTGGAGGTTGCAGTGAGCCAAGATTGCACCACTGCACTCCAGCCTGGGGGACAGAGTGAGACCCTGTCACAAAAAAAAAAAAAAAAAAAAAAAAAAAATCAACACTAGCTGTGCAGTGGCTCACACTTATAATCCCAGCACTTTGGGAGGCTGAGGCAGGAGGATCACTTGAGCCCAGGAATTTGAGATCAGCCTGGGCAACATAGTGAGCTCCCATCTCTTAAAAAAAAAAATTAGCTGGGCATGGTGGTGGACACCTGTGGTCCCAGCTACTTAGGAGGCTGAGGTGAAAGGACCACTGGAGCCCAGAAGTTCCAGGTTACAGTGAGCTAGGACCATACCGCTGCACTCTAGCCCGGGCCACAGAGTGAGATCTTATCTCCAAAAAAATAAATAAATAAACACTAGTCTATGTTAGGTAGAGACAACTGGTAATGTTTAATATTTTAATGAAGGTACCTGTTAGTATCACTGTGGTACTCCTAGGTACAATGTAAAGCAGTAACTTTTTACTAGGTTTGTAGAAAGCTGAAGTATATGAAAGCACAAACTCACTGTCTGCATAGCAGAATATACCTTTTGAAAAAATCTAAACCGTTAAGATTTTTCACAACCCTTGAAAAAGCCTGATGCTGATCAAATTAGCATTTTAAAGTATGTCTATCAGGAGGTTCTTTTAGTTTAAAAAGAAATTTCCCCACTCTTCCAAATCTAGCAAAAAGAATAAATGATTTTAAAAGTATATATGGAAAAAAAGGTATACATGGTATACATACATGTACTACAAGTAGTTTTTTAAAACAGCTATATAATGGCTGGGAGCAGTGGCTCATTCCTATAATCCTAACATTTTGAAAGGCCAAGGCATGAGGATCACTTGAGCCCAGGAGTTCAAGCCCAGTCTGGGCAACACAGTAAAAACTCCATCTTTCCAAAAAATTTTTAAAAATTAGCTAGGCATGCTGGCATTTGCCTATAGTCCCAGCTGCTCAGGAGGCTAAGGTGGGAGAATTTCTTAAGCCCAGGAGTTCAAGGCTGCAGTGACCTATGATCATGCCACTGTACTCCAGCGTGGGTGACAGAGCAAGACCCTGTCTCTAGGTGGAAAAATAAAAAAAAAAGCTGCATAAAAATAAACATAAACTACATTCAAAATAAAAATAAGCTACTATAATTAAAAGAAGCTACTATAATTAAAAGTACTGCTTTTAAAAATAGGTATTTACATTTGTATAAAAAAGGCTTAATGTATTTGATTTCCTTAATCCAAAACTGAAAGTGATATATTTTTAAAAATTATCTTTACCTGATATGTTCTACCTCGAATTTTTTACTTAATATATTCTTCCTCTTTTCATGTTTCTTTCCTTAGTTTAAATTGAAGACACATCTAGTGTTAGAAACTAAAACAAAGGATGATTTCTGTCATAAGAGGGAAGTTGAGTATTTTTGAGATTTAGAAATTCAAATTAACTATGTCCAACATTTAGGATGTGGGTAGCTACAATCTGTAGAAAATTGCAATCCTGTAAGCAAAGTATTAAATCAAGTCCAAGTTAAGAATTTTTTTTAAATGTATTAGAATTGATCACAAAATGTTGATGCTAGGACTAACAAGAAAGGAAGAGATGATTACAGCTGCATCTGCAGGAGTCAGGAGCTGTCTTCCACCAACATAGGTAATAAACCTACATTATAAATAATTGCAGCCAAGTCCTTTTCAGAGAATGAAAACATCTAATTCAAACACACATTAGAGTTCAATGCTTTGCTTAAAGACACCCCACAATCACTGGAAAGTTGAGGGCTGTACGGTTAAACATTCTGAACTGTGGCTAATTTTTCATGCTGAATAAGCTTTTATTTCTAACCCACCCGGAAACAGTGTTGAGATGACTCAGCAATGGCTAATAAACTCAAACTACAAATGTTTTGTTTGCTCTCCTGCACCATCTCACCTAGAAAGGAGCTTCTGGGAGAAGAAATGAGGTAACAGAACATTTAAAACTACTGTTTTCCTGCCCCTGCCTCAGAATTGGAGTTAACTATGTATTTCTACAAAGTTAAATCACCAACGATGAACAGAGAAGGCAAACAACAGTGCAAAAGCTGTTTTCAAGATATGGACTGTACACCACCTTGAGGAAAGGTGGGCAGCAGCCTCTGGCCATGGAACACCCAGGAAAGCTACAGAAACAATCTGAGCAGGCTGTTTTCCTAAGAGAAACTTTCTCTGTGGAAAATGCTGCCTGCTGCTACCCTTGTAGTCTTGGCAGTTCCTTTATGAGCTGGAAGCAGTGTGGAGACAGAGCAGGGCACTGTGAGCTTTCATCTGAGACGGACGCCTCAGAAGAAGGACACATGTTCAATGGAAACACAAGAGATGTGCTGACTCAAACAAACAAAAACATGAAGAGCAACAGTGATGCACACTACAGAGGATGATGAGACAGAAGCTGTGGGCCACCCAACATACCCAACTTGCCCCCAGTCCAGCCAAATGACCGAGGTCTTACAAAAAAGAGCTCGGCACCCATGGGGACCCCAGCACAAACACCAGCGTGTCACAGGTGTCACCTTTCAGTTTTGGCAGAAAAGCAACAAAAAGCAAAGAAAATGAATAGGAATCAAGAAAACTGGTATCAGCCCTGGCTTCACCACTTAAGGCTGCTGTCTGATCTCAAGCAAGTTACAATCGCTGGACTTTTTTTTCTTCCTTCCTCATCTGGGAAAAAAAGGAGGGGATTAAGATGAGTCTTCAACAATACTGATTGTATTTTAAGGTACTTGTGCAAGAGTGTATGTGGGTTTCACATGCCAGCTACATACAGCTAACTATGCTGCTGTTTTAGTTAAAAAATAGAATTTCAAAGGATGAAAGGTTTACACTTTTTTCATCTCTAAGATGAATGTAATTTAAAGGATTCCATGATTTGGGAAAGATCCATGCATCATATGATTAGCTCTGACTGACACCTTTTCAGGCCAAAGGCTGTCTAACCTGGTATCTGGAGGAGCGAAAGCCCTCTACCCCAACCTCAGAATTCCAGCCAGGTACAGAGACAACCAATGGGCCTGCAGCTGTGAACACATAGCCAAGAGGAAAGGCACAGACAACAGAGAGGCGGCCAGGTCAAGGGTGATGATCACAGCCACCAGCAGGTATGGATGTGTGCTGACCATCTACCCCTGCACCTACTGCATGCACCAGCTTCCCCTCAAGAGCAGGAAGGTGTTATGACACTGAGAAACACCACACCCTTCTGGGGGACTATGAGAAATGCCCCATGCCCCAAAGGACTAGGACTGCCAAATTAAAGAAGTATCAACAACTACTTTTGTTACCAAAAGGACATTTCCCAGATGAAAAATACGTAGGTCTTGATGGGGGAAAAAATTTGCAACTGAGCTGTATTGTTCAAAAGGTTATTAGGGATTTAATCTGAATGATGAATTAACCAAATATTAGCCCATTTCTTTCAAGTGCAATTATTAAAAGCTCAAAATCAATTTAATGTCTCAGGCAGATAAGCCAGTATGGGTTATCTGGGTTGTGTGACCTCAGTCACTTGGAGAGCACTCAGGCCTGCAGCTAAGTCTGCAGGGTGGCGCCTGGCTCAGGTGCCCTCCATCTGCTCCTCTGTCCTGGACACTCCTGACCCCGCTCTGCTGGCACAGGGGCCGCAGCAGCTTATTACTGACCTATGTGGGTGTGGGCCTCGAGGCCTGCGAGTGCAGTGGTAGCGGCGGCCCCCGGCGTGGCTGCAGCACTGGGAGCAGTGGTGGGTCTCCCTCCCGGGTGAGATGAGGTGGAGGATGCAGAGGATGAGGTGGACGAGCCCTGAATGACCCGGTCGAGCCAGGGCTCGACGCTGGAATGGCTCTGGAGCGGAGTGGAGGTGAGTCGCCCGGGTCGCCGTAAAGAGCCCTCATCTTCTGAGGCAGACGACGTGTCTGTGGTTAAAATAACGATGACAGGCATGATATCGGGATGAGTCAAGAGGAGGACGGAGTTCCCACTCACACTGGAGCCTCCCAGACCTGTGTGCAGCATGCTTCTGTACACCTGGCACAGCTCTGCCCAAAGCCACGCAGTCAGCTCAAAGGTCACCCTCAATCTAGAAGGGCATGCAAGAAGCCCTACTGTGGGGAAAATGATTCCATGAGCCCCCAGCTCCCCAGAGAGAACTCAGCCACAGGGTACCAGACACACTCAGTGAAGACAGCCTCTGATCTCCTAAACGGCTTCAGCATATACCTCAGTGGGGGTGTTCTGTGAATATTCAGTGCTGCACTGCATGTCCACAGAGTCGGACACCATATCCACACATCAGTCAGCATCACCCAGGGGAGAGCCTGTGCCCGGCCCTACATCTTGGAGGCAGTGAGAAGGCATCCTGGCCTGTGCATGGCCCCAGCAACAACATGGTGGCCATGGGAGAACCGCAGCCCTGTCTACATGCATCCTTTCAGGGGAGTCATGTGAACTAGCCCTAAAAACAATTCCTTCTCCGAGAAAATTGCTTCAGACAACAAAATTAACTGTACATTAAGGTTTCTTCAAGTCAGCATGACTGTGTGTTTCATTATGGGTTTTACAATTATTAAAACATTATTTTAAAATTGGATAGTGTCTATAGCTATATTTAGCAAAAACAATAATTTGACAGCCATTTCTAAGATTTTTTTCAACAATAAACTTCTTTTAAGCAAGAAAGTGTTACCAAAACCACTAAATCATCTTACGAATCTGGTGTGTTTGGTTTTATTGTGTAGTATCTCCAAATACCTCAAACCAAAAATGGGTGTCACTATTTTTGATACTTTAAATATATGACAACAATGCAAGTTCATGAATGTGAAGTCATTAGACACTATCGACATCTTGTACAGTTTAACAGGAAGACTAAAATACATTATTGCTAGAGAGAAACCTCATATAAAAGTTTTCATTTCTAATGGTACCAACAATAAAACAACAACAAAATCAACCGCAAAACTTTCCAAATAGTCTTATACTGTTGCATATAAGTCCTGGTTACAACCTGTTAAGTTATAGGTAATAAGATGACAATAACTGTAAAATTCCTAATTCAGGAAGCTTTAGCTTAGTGCTTATTTTAGGCTCCTCTTAGTGCTTTAGGTTCTTCTCTTTACTAAAAGACATAAATAGCATCTTAGTAAAAGAAATTAAGATCCACACAAAAAGTCTTATAGAAAGCAAGTACCCATTTGGGTAAGAATACTATGTACACCATAGATTTTCAGGTAAGGAATACGAGCATATGCAAACATTTTTAATCTCCAAATGCGTCCAATCTATACTACAGGCCAGACGGATATTCCAACTCAATGGGAAGTAAATAGGATAACATCAGGCCTGTGAAACACTCAAAAAAAAGCCACACTTGACATTGTTTATCAATACCTGGAGGGGTGTAGGTTTCCACAGACGAATGCACAAGGACAGAACGTCTCTTCGAAGGCATAGGCATCTTCCTCTCTTTGTATTTGGCCAAAGCTGCTTGCACGGCTTCAGTGTGGACATCTACACAGGAAGGACAGCAGTAAAAATACTTTTTACAAGACTGTTTATAAAGTAACAAATTAAGTTTCATGTTTTTGTTTGTTTTCAGTGGGGGTAAAAGGAATAGAAGCTCTCTCTGTCTATCCTCACATGTTGGTCCTAGATTTCTTTAAATATTTCTTTGTTTGTAGATCTAACTTTGGAATCTTGTAAATATTTCCTTAGTTATAAATCAAAACTGAATAAAAGAGAAATCCCCAAAATTGAAAATAAAGTGAAACAAATGAGCCTAAATGTGTATCTAGTTGTTGGTTTAAACCATGCTTGTTCAACCCGTGGCCCATGGGCCTCATATGGCTCAGGAGGGCTTTGAATGCAGCCTAATACAAATTCGTAAAATTTCTTAAAACATTATGAGATTTTTTTGCAATTTTTTTTAGCTTATCAGCTATCGTTAGTGTTAGTGTATTTTATGTGTGGCCCAGGATAATTATTCTTCTTCCAACGTGGCCCAAGGTAGCCAAAAGATTGGACACCCCTGGTTTAAACTATTGCAGCTGACTTTAAAACACTGAAGTTAGACTGGTCAACCTCTACTTCCAGAAATATCTAATAAGGACAAAAATAACTGAACAAAAACTTTTAAACTCTCTCATATTGTTGATAGCAGTGAAGGCATTGTCATATAGATTCTTCGTGAGTCCTGTGGGATATGGCAAATGAAAAGCACTTAATAGTCTGATTCTACCATAGCTAGAGCTTGGACACTCATGAGGGAGAGGAGATACAAATGTAGATGAAAGAGGTAGGCTGGACACAGTGGCTCATGCCTGTAATCCCAGCGCTCTAGGAGGCTGAGGCAGGAGGATCGTTTGAGGCCAGGACCAGCCTGTGCACCACAGCAAGACCACATTTCTGAAAAAAAAATTTTTTTTTTTGAGATGGAGTCTCGATCTGTCGCCAGGCTAGAATGCAATGGCGTGATCTCAGCTCACTGCAATCTCCGCCTCCCGGGTTCAGACAATTCTCCTGCCTCAGCCTCCCGAGGAGCTGGGATTACAGGCACCCCCCACCACGCCCGGCTAATTTTTATATTTTTAGTACAGATGGGGTTTCACTATGTTGGCCAAGCTGGTCTTGAACTCCTGACATGGTGATCCGCCCGCCTTGGCCTCTGTAAGTGCTGGGATTATAGGTGTAAGCCACCGCACCTGGCCCAATTTTTTTTGTTTAATTAGGCAGGTGCAGTGGCATGCGCCTGTGGTCCCAGCTACTCAGGAAGCTGAAGCTGGAGGATCACTTGAGCCCAGGAGTTCCAAGGTGCAGTAAGCTATGCCTGTACCACTGCCTCCAGCCTGGGTGACAGAGTGAGAACCCAAGAAAGAAAAAGAGAAAAAGAAGGAAAGAAAGGGAAGGAAGGAAGAAAAGAAAGAGAGAGAGAGGATGGGCACAGTGGCTCATGCCTGTAATCCCAGCACTTTGGGAGGCCGAGGTGAGCGGATCCCCTGAGGTCGGGAGTTCCAGACCAGCCTGGTCAACATGGAGAAACCCTGTCTCTACTAAAAACACAAAATTAGCCGGGCATGGTGGTGCATGCCTGTAATCCCAGCTACTTGAGAGGCTGAGGCAGGAAAATCGTTTGAACCCGGGAGGCAGAGATTGTGGTGAGCCGAGATCACGCCATTGCACTCCAGCCTGGGAAAGAAGAGTGAAACTCCATCTCAAAAACAGAGAGAGAGAGAGAGAGAGAGAGAGAGAGAGAGAAAGAAGAGAAGAGAAGAGAAGAGAAGAGAAGAGAAGAGAAGAGAAGAGAAGAGAAGAGAAGAGAAAAAGCGAAAGAGAAAGAGGGAGGGATGGAGGGAAGGGAGGGAGGGAGAGAGAGAGATGAAGTACAGACCCTGCAGTTCTGAATCTGAATAGATTATGTCACTACAAACAAATGTGGTATCCTGTCTTTTAAAAGTCTGTCTTACCTCTGTACAGTGAAAATGTCTACAAACAACAATCAGCCCAATAGCAATCAGCATCCTAGTGCCCAGACTGTGGTCTTGAAACACCATCCTCACTTAAAAAAAACCCTTAGAAATGGCAGATTCTGGAGCAGGGGAGAAATGCCCAGGATGAACCTAGAACTTCTTATCCTAACAGCCAACCAGGAAATGGTCAAACAACTCGAGCCAATTTGAAGAGATTCCCAATGGCGAAGAATGGGACAATCTGAATATCGGTAAGAATAAATACTAAAATGGACTGAAACATCAAATATGATACTGACAGAAGAAAAGAAGAAAAAGGAAAAGAGGAAACGCAATCAATTGGTTGCCATTGGAGGAGGCCAGTGACTCAACCTATTGTTCTGAAAACTAGTAAATAAATGGAAAGAATTAAATATTCATCTTGACTTTCTTTCCTGTACCAAGTTGTAAATAACAGAAGTTTCTCTTTACGGAAATATTCTGGCCTTTGAGTGAAGAAGGAATGTCAGAATCTAAATTTCACCATTTTGCAGCCCAAAGGAAATCAATCTAAGAACTGAGAAAAATCACTGGTTTTCAAGCACCACAGTGAACAGCCAAGAGTCAGGCCCAACAGGCCTCTTGGTGGAGGAACACAGGGCCACCCATGACAGTCTTGTAAACAGCTGAACGTTGTAACCTGACTTTCATCAAACCTAGTGACCTAAAAAGCATGTCAGAGACACCAAGAGGAACCATCAGACAAACACAGCTCAGCTTCTCCTACAAACTAAGGTTCATAGAGGCTGAAAACACTTACCAACCAACTGCAATGTGTAGCTCTTATTTGAATCCTGGGTCCAAATAAACTTGTTCCTTAGAAGCCATACGAGCAAAAGCCATATGAACATTGGCTGAATATTTGCTATTAAGGAAGTATTTATTGTTAATTACTTTGTGAAAATGGCATTATCTTTTAGAAATACAATCTTTTCAGATACAGAAACCAAGACTATTACGACATCAAAATGACAGAGATCGAGAATATTATGACATCTAAATGAAATAACATATCCGAGATTTGCTATGAAACCATATGGGAAGGGAGGAAGCAGGTAGAGTATAGATTAATCCAAGGCAGGGCATGGATGGCCCAGAATTTCTGGAGCTCGACTATGGGTCCAGGGGAGCTATAATACAATGATGGCCAGTTTTGTAGACGCTTCAATTTTCCCCAACAAATGTCTGAAAACATTTAAAAATCTCACATTTAAATGGCTTGTAGGGCCAGGTTAAACCTTTTCCTACTCAGGAAAGGTGAAGAATTCACACCTAGACATATGATAAAGGAAATTCATGGATATCAAAGACACAGAACAATTCTAAAAGCTTCCAGAGAAAAAGGTAAATCACCTTGAAAGATCAAGAAACAGACTGACAATACTCAGTAGTAACACCAGGCACAAAAAAGCAATAGTTTTGAAGACAAAAAGTGTTAAACCTAGAATTTTATATCCAGCCAAATTATCATTTAAATATGAATATTTAATAAAAATATTATCAGACATACAAGGTTCGAAAAGCATTTCCACACAAGGACTTAACTGAAAACACTCATGGAAAAAGGCACTCACGAAAAGAGAGCAAGAAACAAACTGAGACCCTTGTGATGGATTTGGAAGTTACTGTGATTCCCCTAAACATTATTGCTGTCTTAGAAAAAAAGGAAAATAAGTATAGATTAAAAACAACCTAGAACTAAAAATATAGATAATATCAACCTGATAGGGTATATCAACAGATCCAAAAATACTCAACAAACCCCAAGCACAAGAAACAAAACCAGCCCACGTGCATCATAATCAAATCACTCAACACCAGCATCTTAGTCTGCTCAGTTGCCATAACAAAACAGCATAAACTAAGTGGCTTAAACAACACAAATTTTTCTTACTGGAGACTGTATGTCCAAGATCAAGGTGCCTCATGGTTGGTGTCCGGTGAGGGCTCTCTTCCTGGCTTACAGACATCTGCCTTCTAACCATTGTACTCATAGGTTGATGGGGCAGGGCGGGGGCCAGCAAGCTCTAGTGCCTCTTTTTTTTTTCTTCCTTTTTTTTTTGAGACAGAGTCTCACTCAGGCTGGAGTGCAGTGGGGCAATATTGGCTCACTGCAACCTCCACCTACCGGTTCAAGCGATTCTCATGCCTCAGTCTCCAGAATACCTAGGACTATGGGCATGTGTCATCACACCTGACTAATTTTTGTATTTTTAGTAGAGATGGGGTTTTGCCATGTTGGCCAGGCTGGTCTCCGCCTGCTTCAGCCTCCCAAAGTGCTGGGATTACAGGCGTGAACAACCACGCCTGGCCAATGCCTCTTCTTATAAGGGCACCGATCCCACCGTGAGGGCCCCACCCTCATGATCTCATCTAAACCTAATTACCTCCCAAAGGACCAAACTCCAAATAGCATCCCACCGGGGTTAGGGCTTCAATATAGGAATTTCAGAGAGGATATAATCGAGCCCACAGAACAGTGATAAAGAGAAAAATCTTAAAGGTGCAAGAAGGAAAAAAGACACATTAGATACAACAGAACACAGATAAGAAACAAAGTTGAAGGACTAACACTACTGATTTTAACACTTATTATTAAGGTATGATCATCAAGAGAACACTGTTTTGCCATAAAGACAGACGAATAGATCAATAGAACAGAACAGAGAGTCCAGAAATAGATGCGCGCATTTATGTGCAACTGCTTTTAGAAAAAAGTGCAAAGGGAATTCTCTGGAGAAAGCATAGGCTTAAGGAATGGCCCAGGAACAGCTGACTACCTCCATGCAAAAAAGTAAACTTTTGATTCATACCTTGTACTTACACTAAAATTAACTAAAAAAAAAGATCACAAACTTAAGGGCACTAAAATGGCACTAAAAAACCTAAAACTACAAAACTTGTACAAGAAAACACAAGAGAGAATCTTTGTAATCTTGGGTTAGGCAAAGATATCTTAAACACAAGAACAAAAGCACTATCAATTTAAAAAAATGATAACTTAGACTTCATCAGGATTAAAAACTTCTGCTCTTCAAAAGATACTTTAAAGAAACACAAAGACAAATCACAGCCTGAGAGAAAATATTGGCAAATCATATTTATGATAAAAGACCTGTATTCAAAAGATAAAGAATACACCTAGTATAAACTTCACAAGGGCAGAAACCAGTTTATTAACATCACTTCCATGAGCAGGGAACAGGGTTGGGGAGAAGAGCTGGGACATGTAGAAAATAAGGAGCGGCAGAAAGGAGGAGACCTTTTCTAGGACCACTCTCATGGAAAGTACACATGTGTGCGTGCATCTGCATCCAGGCATGAGGACAACAGTGCTCAGTGAAATGCTGAGGGCGGCCATCTCAGGATTCAGGGGTATCAGGTGATTTTTAACTTTGTCCTTAAATTTGGTATAATATTTTTTATATATTTAACACTAAGCATATATTATTTATACAATCAGAGAAGAAGCTGTTTGCCACATGATAAAGTTTTTTATAAATGTGTATCAAATTGGTAAGACATTATCTGTTCGAATATTTCTTAGACTATTTCTTTACACTCCCTGTTGAAAAAACATTTAAAATCTTAATCTTTGTTTTCAGTATTCTTAAAACAACCATTATCCCTATTAAAATTTTTTCTGAAAAAGGCCTGTCAAAAGAGCTTAAATGTGAAGAAAATATACAACCACACAGTGGTGAAAATATTAAATAGATAACGTGCTCAAGTTATTAATATATAAACTATAATAGAAAATGTGAATTTTTTTCAATGGCCATTCTATTGATTCAAGTAAAACATCAGAGACAAATTTAAATATTCATAAAAGCACTGCCAAACAGAGTGGCAGAAATCTAATTGGAAGGAAATCTCCAAAATTAGAAAAAGAAATACTAAAACACCTGCACCTAGCAGTAAAGCTGCTCCATAAAGCACAAAAATTATTAGTATCAACTTCAAAGTAAAAAGTGTACAAAAGTTTTAAAGAAATTATTCTAGTAAGAGTGAGAAGAAGACTTCTCTAGAGAGTTTTGTAGGCATCCCCTAAGAAAGTGCCACTAAAGCTACACCATACATTAAAACAGACTGTGGTTACGTGAAGGTTAAATGTTTTTCTTGAAAAAAATATGATGATGTACATTACTGCTTATGTGAAAATAATTTCTTTGGCAGATATTGTGGCAAAGGAAAAATAACTGGAAGACTTCATGGCAAGAGTCCAAGGGCTCCAGGCCCGTCCACCTTCCCCACTGCCTAGGCTGTGACCCTACCTGACCGGAAGCGCTCATCCCTCGAGGCGGTGGGCCGAGACTTCTGCTGCTTGGGTGCAGCGGCCGTGGTTTGTGAGGGCCCAGGAATTCTATTCTCTGCTTGCAGAGATGGGTCTATTCCTGAAACACAATTTTATGGGAATACCTTATGTGAACAATTTGCTTTTCCAATTATGAAAAAGTCCATTGAAAACAGCTTACATTTCTCATCTGTTGCATACCCTCTATCAAAGAGCCTTTAATCTGGAAGTCAGTGATAGACGCATAAATGCTGTGGGTTAAGGGCAACATCCACTTCCGTGCTCTCCTCTCCCCACATCACCCAGCCCTGCCTCTCATTCACCATCCGCATGAAGGGTGATGATCAAACAGCTGGCCCTGTACCCTTGGCAGCACAGTACATGGCAGCTCACATCAGGGGTGGGAGCCGTGGTAGAAAGCCCTCCCAAAGCCCACCTCTGAATTACGTTTCCAAGTCTGAAATGGTCCGTGCTGTTCGTCCCCAGCATTGTTCTACAGTGTCGGTAAACCCTGAGTGAGAAACAGCTCACCAGACCACCACTGGGGTCCACCAGTAGCCCTCTGATACAAACAGGAAAAAAGTGAAAAGTCAGAGAAAACAAGAGCGAGAGGGGCATTAGAAAGATGGCGTCAGGGCCCAAAGTGCTGAGAGGCTGGGACCTGCTCAGGCCGGGCCAGCTGCCCTCGCCGCACCACCCACTTGCTCCGCCTCCAAATCAGGGCAGATCAAGGTCACGCTGCTGCTCTCCACACTCCCTCACCAGGACCTCCACTCTCTGGGCAGTGGTCCCCTGGTCACAGATGCCCTCAAGACACATTACGGTGAGCGAAGGAATGGGGAACAGTTGTTCAAGTCACTGAACAAAATCCCTGGTATCATTTGAAGCCAATTTGCTGACATTTGCAGACAGCACAAAGCAAAACCTGCAGCTGTGCTTCAACAAAAATATGCATTTAGCTTTAGCCTTTGTTTCAAAATGTTTCATAAAATTGGCCAGCAGGAATTGCAGTCCCGCTGGCTCCTCCAGCCCTTACCACTCCCTGAAGAGGCAGAGTCCACGCTGCCTCAAACCTGGGCAGGTCAGTGACTGCCCCAACAAGCGCAGTGTGGCAGAAGTGATGCTGTGTGACTTCCAAGGCTAGTCGTGAAAGGCGACACGGCTCTACCTGGCTCTGTGCAACACCACACACCAAGTCTAGAGTGTTAAGCCCCCCAGTGGAGGGGCCACATGAGGACAGAGGGAGACACAGGCAGGGGTGGGGAGCCAGGTGCTCGGCAGCAGGAGTCTCCCCACCCCAACAGCCACAGCTGTGACTGAGGAGCCCTCACAGGATGTTGGCCCAGGACTTGAGCACCCAGCTCTGGCTCTGTGGACAGGGACAAGGTAACATTTGAGCTGGGCCTACACTGCACATTTATGAGCAGAACAGATGCTGCTGATGTTGTTCAAGTACTGTGTACATTTTGGGGTGGTCAGTTATACAGCACTGGAGAATGGGAACACTCTCTACAGAAATCAGTATTAGCCCTTCAAAATGTGAGCATACACATGTACATATACATCCACACACACATCCACACACACACCCACACACACACGTGTGTTTGTGTGTGTCTGTGTGTGTATATATATGTACAAAATACATAATGAGCAGAATCCCTACTGGCTTTTGGCTTTTTGTGACTGGATAAAACAACTTTAAAGTTCACAACGGACAATACAGAGTCTTACACCTTATGGATGATAAACAAGCATGCTGTAAAGTGACATATACACAGACGGACTTCCTTACACTTGTATTCCAAAATATGCATCCTTTTATTCTTTGAGATAGATTCATTTATTCAACAAAGATAGATACAAAACCCAATGTGAAATTATTGGATGAAGGAGTAGATATATTTTTAACTTAACAGATATGAAGAGATAACTTTCCAAAAAGGTTACAGTAATTCACACTCCTACAAGCAATGTATGAAAAGTGCCATTTCTCCACTCTCTGTCAGCACTAGATGTTATAAAAAGTTCTAGAATTTTGCCAATGTGATAAGAGAAAAATGGTGCCCTTTAATTTGCATTTCCATATCTACCACTGAGGTTGAACATAATTTAATATTTATTGCCCATCCACATTTCCTCTCCTTTGGATTTCTGCTACTTTACCCAACTAAAGACCCTCACTAAAAGACCAGGAAGCCTCACTCCTTGTCTGCTGTGGACACCCTGAACTGTGTACACATACAGAGCTGTGGCCTGGCGAGTAGCAGCTCAGTCATTCTGAAATGTTCTCATTTCTAGGGAGCCTATCGCACCTGTCCATCTTTTCTGTTCTAGCTCCCAGGTCTCCTATCTTGCCTATGAAGACAATTCCTACTCAAAGGGGTGTTCAAATAGTCTCCTGAATTGTATGTTTTTATAATTAAAAACATATTTAGAACTTTAATTATTCTGAAGTTTATGTTCACTAATGGTGGGGAGGAGGAAGAGGGTTCTTGCCTGCAGAAGGATAGTACCAGCTATTAAATTAACCCTTCCTCCTTCATATCCTCTCAAATCACTTCTGGACTTCTTTTCTTCCACTGACTGGGTCGTGTACTCTGTACACTGGCATCCTCCTGTTGTGACTATAAAGCATATACAATCAGGTTTAGTAACTCAAATGCCAGTCCTTTATCACCAGTGTTCTTTTTCAAAAATTGATGGGCTACTCTCAGAACTTTGCCTCTTCTAATGGGTCACTTCCAATCCTAGGTTTAGGAAAACCTCAGGCCTGGTATTCAGACTGGACTACATTATGTTCACACACTAACTTGAGATCTGCCAGTTTTATAGGATGTATTAAGTTTTTCCAGTTAGGAAACTGGTATGTTTCTTCATATATTAGGGTCTTGGTTATTTCTTTCAAATAGATTTTACGATCCTAACGTAGGTTCTGTCTTTCTTACCAAATGCATTAATAAGCATTTGACAGTTTGTTTTCATTATGAATAAGATTTTTTCATATTTGAAAACAGAAATATTGCTAGAGAAAAGCCGCATATTTGCCTTCTATCTTCATATCAAACCAAAATCACTTACTAATAGTTACATGAGCAGTCACATGAGTTTTTGAGGTATAAAATAATATCACCTATATTTAAAGATGATTATCTTTTGTTCTCTAATATTTATTTATTCTGCTTTGTTTTCCATCGCACTGCATCAGCTGTGACCACCCAAATAATGTGTAATAAGAATGGGCATGGCCAGCATTTCTGTTTACCCATTTGGAATGGAAATGGCTACAGTATCTGGTTGTTTAGTTTGATGATTGCTGGTGATTTTGGACAAATGGGCTTTAGAGATATTTTAATAGTTTCCTTCAATCCCAATTTTACTCTGAGTTTGTTTTTATTTTGGGTGAATAAATATCAGCATATAAAGAGCCTCGTCAATCTTCTTGTTGTTGTTGATCTGTTATAAAATATATCATACCAATATAGGCAATACAAAGCATGTATGCAGTTTAAGAATATTATTAAGAAACAATCAATGTAACCACCACATAGGTTATGAAATAAAACACTCAGTGCCTTAGGGGTCCCTGTGGCCCTCTCCAATTTAACTTCCATGAGGAAATGGTGTGCTGGCTTCTGTGAAAACCATTTCCTTCTCTTTCTGGACTCACTACACCAGCTCTCTAAATATTAACAGATCGGTTTGGCGTCTTTTTTTAAGCTTGTATTGGCTATATGCCTTTGTAATTGCTTCCTTCATCCTCACGATGTTTACAAGATTCATTCTTGCTGATGCATGTAGGTCTTTAGCTTTCCGCTGTATGAATTCTGTTGATGGGTATTTGAGTTCTTGGCAGTTTACAGATATAATGAACATTTTTGTACAAGAGAATAAGGTGCAAACAAATAGGAGTTTCTCTAGGGCAAATATGTACCTGAAGAACTGCTGCACCTCTTCAACTTTACTATGTAATACTAGCTGCCTGCATCCTACTGATTGAATCCTCTCCAACAGGACAGATGGCTGTGGTTACAATGTGCATTGCTCTGATTACTAGTGAGGTTAAACATCTTTACATTTGCTCATTGGCTATTTGGATTTCCTCTTATGAAATAACCTATTTGAATCTTCATCCATTTCTCTACTAGACTTTTCTTATCATGTTGGGAGACTTTCTGGCTATTAAGTTTAAACTAATTAAATTAAGGGAAGGTGTGGTGGCTCACACCTGTAATCCCAGCACTTTGGAAGGCTGAGGCAGAAAACTCGCTTGAGGTCAGAAGTTCAAGACCAGTCTGGGCAACATAGCGAGACCCCATCTCAATCAGTAAGCTGGGCGTGGTGGTGCACACCTGTAATCCCATGTACTCAGGAGGCTGAAGTGAGAGGACTGCTCAAACCCAGGAGTTTGAGACTGCAGTGAGCTATGATCACACCACTGTGCACCAGCCTGAGCAACAGAGTAAGACCTTGCCTCTTATGTGCAATCATCATACATGGCTGGTGTTTCATATACTGGACAATGCAGTCAGAGAACATGTCCGTTACTGCAAGAAGTTCTACTGGACAGCACTGCTCGGTACATTCTGGATACTAGTTCTTTAGTTCTTTTTTTTTTTTTTTTTTTTTGAGATGAAGTCCCACTCTGTCGCCCAGGCTGGAGTGCAGTGGCACAATCTCGGCTCACTGCAACCTCCACCTCCCAGGTTCAAGTGATTCTCCTGTCTCAGCCTCCCGAGCAGCTGGAACTACAGGTACGCACCACCATGCCCGGCGAATTTTTATATTTTTAGTAGAGACAAGGCTTCCCTATGTTGGCCAGGCTGGTCTTGAACTCCTGACCTCATGATCCCCCCACCTCAGCCTCCCAAAGTGCTGGGATTACAGGCGTGAGCCACCGCGCCTGGCCTCTGGATACTACTTCTTATTTGTGTTACAACTATCTTCTCACACTCTGTAGTTTGTCTTTGCAATCTCTTTATGATGACGTTTGAAAAAAAGTTCTTAATTTTAATGTGGTCCAATTAATCAATCCTTTCCTTTATGGTTCCTGCTTTTTGGTACCTTTAGTGACATCAAAAAATCCTTCCTATCTTGAGATGGCAACAATCTTCCTGTAAGATTTTCTAAAGGCTTTAAAGACCTTTCACATTTAGGCCTAATACATCTGGAACCGATTTTTGTCTCCAATGTCATGTGTTTCATATATGGATAAAGAACTATGCCAGCACCATGCCTGCCACACCACCATTCCCATGTGCAAAGTCCGCACACATATGCATTTGTCTGAGCTGTCCAGTCTGTCTTAGTGACAACGGCTTTAATAATAACTCTTCATATCCTGGTTGGGCCAATCCTCTCACCTCATTCTTTTTTGAAAATATTTTGGGTCTCTTGACCTTTTATACTTGGATATACATTTTAGAACTAACTCGTTAAGTTACACACACACACACACACACAAAACCTATTGAAATGATGAATGCACTGAATCTACAAATCAATCTAATGTGGGAAGAACCGACATCTTTACAATAGATGCTCTAGCCCTAGTAAGAATTGTGCCAGGTTGTTCATAATCATAAAAATAAAATAAATCCTCTTTGGGAATGAGATCTGAGATCTGTATCAAGCCAGAGCTTTAAATTATAATCTATGCCTTTGGATTTTATTATTTAATATTAGAGGCATATTTTTCAAGACCAGCCTGGGCAACACAGCGAGACCCTGTCTCAATCAATAATCAACATATACCAGTGTTTAAAGTTGGTTTAACATTGCTAACAAATGTTAAACTCTAAAAACAATTTAAAAATCACATGTTATGAAACAATATAATTGCTATGTAACACCTGAGTGTATTGACCTTACCTTGAATAAGCGGTATATAACGTGCAAGCAGCTTTGCCCTTTTCTTTTCATATCCTTTTTGAGTGATGTCACCTAAAACAACAATGGAAAAAAGAATTGCATTTCTTCTACAATTCCAAAATTTTAAAATTAAACATCAATTTATGATTGAAAAACTGGAAACACTGATGTCCTTCCATGAAGTGTCTGGACAAATAAACTATAATGGACCCATAAAATGGAATACCACTCAGCAATAAAAAAGGAACAAACTACTGATACACACAGCAATTTGGATAGATCTCACATGCATGCTGCTGAGTGAAAGAAGCCAGACTCAAAAGGCTACTGAATACTCAACTTTTATGACATTCTGGAAAAGATACAACCATAGCGTCAGATACAGCTAGTGGTTGCCAGGGGCTGGGAGTGAGGAAAAGACAAGAGAATTTTGAGGGTGGTGAAACTGTTCTACGTTGGGAGTGTAGTGGTGGTTACATGAGCATATGCGTTTGTCAAAAATCTGTACCACTGTAGAAGAGTAAGGGTGAATTTTACTGTGTGTAAATAACACTTCAAATTTTAAAAATTGTGATCACCATCCCCTGGGAGCTTGCCAAAAATGCAAACTCTAAGGCCATATCCCAAACTGACAGAATCCAAATCCGCACTTTATCAAGATCCTCCAGTAACTCCTGTGCAGGTTCAAGTTTCACAAGTATTGCAATAAGGGACCCATGGGACACAAGCCGTCCCAGGCCAAGGGGTGTCCTTGGGAAAGGAGGAAAAAGGACGGCTGTTCCAGTAAATTATCATAAGGAAAAACAGCCTGAAAACAAATTAAACCACCTAGGAATGAGGTAGGAAATGCACCATCATGAAAACACTTCTTAATGTAAGCACACTATTTGGTTTCCTACACATACCTGGAAGTTCTAACAGGGGATGTGTGATGTGAAGACTTTATTTAGACCAGAAATACATATTACAATTCTCATGATTAGCTTGTCCTCTGGGTGAACATGGTAGAGTTTTTAGTGTTTTGTAAGATCTCCCTTCTCTCAAAACAAGCAAGCAAAGCAGTAAGGCTGCTGTGAATCAGAAGACACAGGCTGATGTCATTTATTGAGTACATAATTGAGTATTTCCTTTAGATGTATTTTTTATTGTAGGATTTGTTGTGTGAACAGACTGACACCGTTGAATATCTGACATCTAAGTTAAGCCTCAGTGGAAGCCTCTGGGTAGGCATTAATATGCCATCCTACAGAAGAAGAGCCTGAGCCACGGCCTGTGGGCCAAGCAGCTGCTCTGGTCCACACCAGCCTACCACAACCTCCCCACCTACTCCACCCTGCACTGCGCCCAAGCCCTGCCCTCTGCACAGAGCCTCTGCTTTAAGAGCTCACTTGGCTCCTCCCAAGCCTCTCATGCTTATCTGCCTGTCCTTCCATTTATTTATTCCCTGTGTCCCCACTGTGTTCCATCTCTTCAGACTTTTTTTTTTTTTGCATTTAGTGTCTTTTAGACATATTTTCTTATAGCTTCTTTCTATAGTGTCTTTTAGAAACTTTTTTATAGTGTCTTTTAGAATATATTCTGCAGAATGCATGTTGCTTTGTGTCTGTGTACTTTTAATTGACCCGAATGGCATCATATTATAAATCACTATTTTCTTCCCTAAGCCTTCCATTTTTAAAACCAACCCTTCCTCAATGCAATGAGCACACCTGATTCACTGCACTGACCCGGGTACCCCTTGGAAGTACATCATCCTTGTTCACCCCCTCACTCCATCACTGCACACTCCCAGGTCCACAGCCAGCCACCACCCACACCAACATGCTCAGTGCTGCAGTGACAATCCTCATCAGGTTCAGGATATAACTGTACAATTTCACTTATTAAATTTCAACTTGTGCACAACTTTTTAAGGTTTAGAAGGCAGTAATTTTCAAATGTGCATGTGTGTAGGAGAGGCAATTAATCTGCATCACAGAGGTACGGAATATGGCTCTGGCTGAACTCCACTGCTGCAGAAGAATCTCACTTAGGATCACAGATGCCAAATCCCTAGTAATATCACCAAGTCCTTCACTCGGCAACACAATTTCTAAAAACCCATTCTCAAAAGCACTCAACTACCCCTACAGGTCACAGGAACAAAGATGAGTAGTGCACAAGGGTAATAACATGCATGGAAGCTTGACACTTCCTATAATGACAAAGCCTTCTCAAATAGCTCACGAAGGGTCTGCCTGAGGCTGTTTGACAGTTAACATTTTTAAAATATAATAGGAATATACTCTAAAATAACAATAAATTGTACAGTAAATACATAAACCAGTAACATTCATTTATCATTACCAAGTATTATGTACAGTACCTAATTATATGGATTAGATTTTTAAGACTGGCAGCACAGCAGGTTTGTTTACACCAGCATCACCACAAACACGTGAGTAATGTGTTGTGTTACAATGGCTACAAGGTCACTAGGTGGTAAGAATTTTTAGCTTTATCATGATCTCATGGAGCCACTGTTATATATGTGGTCAATCGTTGCCCGAAACATCTACTGGGCATATGACCAGATATGGATACAGTTGTTCATAGTACTCCCTTATCATGCTTTAATGTCTGTGCAGTCTATAGAGATTGGCCTCTTTCATTCCTGACTGGTAATTTGTGTCTTTGGTATTTTCTCACTGTCGGTCTTGTTAGAGGTTTATCAAATTTATTATCTTTTCAAAGAACCAGGTATTGGTTCTACTGTTTTTTGTTTTTGTTTTTGTTTTTTTGAGACGGAGTTTTGCTCTGTCACCCAGGATGGAATGCAGTGGCACAACTGGCTCACTGCAACCTCTGCCTCCTGGGTTCAAGTGATTCTCCTGCCTCAGCCTCTGGAATAGCTGGGATTACAGGCATGCGCCACCACGCCTGGCTAATTTTTGTATTTTTAGTAGAGATGGGGTTTCACCATGTTAGCCAGGCTGGTCTAGAACTCCTGACCTCAAGTGATCCACCCGTCTCAGCCTCCCAAAGTGCTGGGATTACAGGTGTGAGCCACTGCACCTGGCCCCACTGATTTTTTCCTATTGTTTTTTCTGCTTTCAGTTTCACTGATTTCCGCTGTTATCATTTTCCTTCTGTTAGGAAACACAAAACCATAATGAGATACCACTATATGCCTATTCAAACAGCTAAAGCTTTAAAAATACTGACAATGTCAAGTGCTGACAAAGACTGTGAAGCAATAGAAACTCATATATTGCTGATGGGCATGCAAAATGGTATAGCCACTCTGGAAAACAGTGTGGAAGTTCTTTATACAGTAAAGCAAACACTCACCAGACGACCCAGCAATTCCACTTGATTATCTACCCTAGAGAAGTAAAAACTTGTGTTCACATAAAAACCTGTACACAATTGTTTATAGCCACTTTATTCTTAATCACCAAAAAACTAGAAACAACCCAGATGTCAAGTGAATGAAGAGACTGTGACGTAACCATACTATGGAAAACTACTCAGCAATAAAGAGGAACAGACTATTGATACTTGCAAAAGTGTGAATAAATTTCAAAATACATTACGCTGAAAGAAGAAAGCCATTCTCGAAAGGTTACATGCTATATGATTCCATTTATATGACATTTCGGAAAAGATAAACCCATAAGGATAGGGAATAGATCAGCTGGGGGACCGGGAGACTGCAAAGGGATAATATGAGGAGTGTTTGGGGATGATGGTGCTGTTCTTTTTCTTGTTTGGTCTTTTATTATGTTTTAGAGTCAGGGTCTCGCTCTGCCACCTAGGCTGGAGTGCAGTGGCATAGCTTACTGCAGCCTCCAACTTCTGGGCTCAAGCAAATCAGCTTTCCGGAGTCTGAAAGGAGTGTCTGACAAAGAAGTACTTCAGGCAGTTAGCAGCTGGGTGACTCCACAATGGACCAAGTGTGGCTAAGGAAGAAGCACCCCAACAGGGCATGACACAATGGCTGGGAGCCCCAAGGGCCCGGCAGGTTCCAATCCAGTACAGTACAGTCTGCCTTTGGTCAGGTCACTTTTACCGCCTCCAAGGTGGGCACCAGCCAGAAATCAGATACACACCAGAGACCTTGGACCCAAGTGAGCTGGACACAGCTGCCAGTGTTTATTCCTTTGGAAAGGTATTGGCCTTTCCCTTGCTGCCAAAGAACGGGTCCAAAGAGTCCACTAGGTCCCAACTTGGGCCACACAAGCTTACCCAGGATCCCAAGGCAAGGTCTCTGTGCCATGGCAGCTGGGAAAGCCCACAGCTGCCACGACTAGACAGGTCCTACTGGAGGTGCCGACACAGAGCAGGAGGAAACAATAAAATGAGGGATGATCCACACCTGATATGGTCTGGCTCTGTGTCCTCCCCACTCAAATCTCACTTTGAATTGTAATAATCCCCACGTGTCATGGGAGGGACCCAGTGGGAGGTAACTGAATCACGGGGGCAGGTTTTTCCCCATGCTGTTCTCCGGATAGTAAGTCTCACAAGATCTGATGGTTTTATAAAAGGACAGTTCCCCTGCACACGCCCTCTTGCCTGCCACCACGTAGGACGTCCCTTTGCTTTCTTCATCTTCTGCCATGATTGTGAGGCCTCCCCAGCCATGTGGAACTGTGTGTCCATTAAACCTCTTTCCTTTATAAATTACCAAGTCTCGGTTACGTGTTTGTTAGCAGCATGAGAACAGACTAATACAATACCTGACCATAATAAAACTTGAAAACAGATGCCACACAAAAAAAAAAAAAAATACAGGCAGTCTCCAAGCTCGTGACACAGAACAAAAGGTGAGGAAAATCTGTGAAGAGTAATATTTTGCACGGTGGCACCATTCACTGGTAACAGTCGTTCTTAATATAAGCACGTAGAGATTTCACTTTCCAAGCCTTAAAGTTTCCAAACACAGGGGTCTTAAATATACAGATCTAATACACAAAAGTAGAGCCTATCTGACTGCAATTTAAATTATTTATGCAGCCAAGCATGGTGGCTCACATCTGTAATCCCAGCACTTTGGGAGGCCAAGGTGGGAGGACTGCTTGAGCCCAAGAGTTAGAAGCCACCTTGGGCAACATAAAGAGACCCTGTCTCTACAAAAAAAGAAAAAAAACCAATTAGCTGGCTGTGGTGGCACATGCCTATAGTCCTAAGCTACTAGGGAGGCTGAGGTGAGAAGATTGCTTGAGCCCAGGAGTTCGAGGCTGCGGTGAGCTATGATCGCACCACTGCACTCCAGCTTGAATAGCAGAATGAGACCTTAAAAAAAAATAAGCAAATTATTATGCTTAACGCTGAAGAGTATAGATATGCTTCCACAGCAGTGTTTGAATGTCCACTGTCTCATTCATTTGTAATTAAAAGCGGGCTTTTTAAATGTGTAGTAAATATTTTATCTCAGTTTTTAATAAAATATGAAAAATATGTTCATTAAACTGAATACATACACACACATAGGAACTCCATTTATGGCACTGACAAAATTATAGCACTCAGACCAACTCTTCCAATGGGAACAACTAAAAAGATCACATTAAAGTTTTTCTTTAAATCTGAAGACATTACAGAAGTGAAGAACTGAGGGCCAAGTGAAGTCAAAAAGTAATCACCAAGTAGCTGAACTGAGTGGAACTTGGACAGACTCAGAGAGGCAGGAGCTCATCACGGACGAGGTGCCCTGGAAAGCATCCCAGGTTGTTTGTTGGGACTCAGAAGGACCACACCTTGGGTATGAACTAAAAATAGAGCAGCACTCATAAGGACTGGAGCCAGTTTCAAATCACTTTCTCTCTATATAGATTAAAGTGATCTTGGACTGCATCTATTCCCAACCTATCTACCTACCAGATGCAAAAGTAAGCCCTTTGTGGTCACAAATGATCACTATATAGACAATGTCTGGCATTTGATCAGAAGTAATTAGGCACATATGGCAGCAAGAAACTATGACTAAAATCCATGAGAAACAATAATAGAAAGCTATAGAAAATGGAACTTTAGAATAACCATAATCAATATGTTTAGGGAATTAAAAAGCAGGATTGTGAATTTAAAAAAAAAAACATAAATTCTAGGACTGAAAAATACTGTATCTCAAATCCAGGAATAAATTTAATGAAAGGTGTGCAAGACCACTACCCAGAAACTAACAACATTATAAAAACATTACTGAGATAAATTAAAGACCTAAAGAAATGAAAGGATATACCACATTCATGAATCTGAAGACTCAATACTGTGAAGTGTAATTTCTCTCCAAGTGGATCACAAGAGTCAGCCTGAGTAATTCTTGAAAGTTTTGCCAGGCGTGGTGGCTCACGCCTGTAATCCCAGCACTTTGGGAGGCCGAGGCAGGCAGATCACCTGAGGTCCGGAGTTCGAGACCAGCCTGACCAACATGGAGAAACCCTATCTCTACTAAAAATACAAAATTAGCCAAGCATGGTGGCACATGCCTGTAATCCCAGCTACTCGGGAGGCTGAGGCAGGAGAATGGCTTGAACCCAGGAGGCGGAGGTTGCTGTGAGCCGGGATCGCGCCATTGCACTCCAGCCTGGGCAACAAGAGCGAAACTCCCTCTCAAAAAAAAAAAAAATTCTTGAAAGTTTCTTGCATAGAAATTGACAAGCTGATTCCAAAGTATATAGGGAAATACAAAGGGCCAAGATTAGCTAAATCAAGCTTGAAAAACAAAATAAAATTAAAAGGGCAGACTTTACCAGATATGAAGACAGAATGGAGCAGGTGCTAAGATAAGCAAGTAGAACAACACAGCAGAAATCAGTCCGAAGCAGCAGGGGAAGGATAGCCTCTTCCAAATGTTCTGAGTCAACTGATTACCCAACTGCAATAGAAATGAAATCACTCTTCCCTCACACCACGCATGAAATTAAATTCCAGGTGAATTACGCATCTAAATGTGAAAGATGGCCGGGCGTGGTGGCTCACGCCTGTATCCCAACACTTTGGGAGGCCAAGGCAGGTGGATCACCTGAGGTCAGGAATTCGTGACCAGCCTGGCCAACATGGCAAAACCCTGCCTCTACCAAAAAAAAAACAAAACAAAAAAATTAGCTGGGTGTGATGGTGCGTTCCTGTAATCCCAGCTACTCAGGAGGCTGAGGCAGGAGAATCACTTGAACCAGGGAGGCGGAGGTTGCAGTGAGCCGAGATAGTGGCACTGTACTCCAGCCTGGGCGACAGGACAAGACTCTGACTCAAGAAAAAAAAAAAAAAAGAAATACACACACACACACACACACACACAAATCTTTTTTTTTATTTTAGGCGGAGTCTCACCCTGTCACCCAGGCTGGAGTGCAGTGGCGCAATCTCAGCTCACTGCAACCTGACCCTCCTGGGTTCAAGCAATTCTCCTGTCTCAGCCTCCCAAGTAGCTGGGATTACAGGCGCCTGCCACCACGCCCCGTTAATTTTTGTATTTTTAGTAGAGACAAGGTTTCACCATGTTGACCAGGCTGGTCTTGATCTGCCTGCCTCAGCCTCCCAAAGTGCTGGGATTACAGACGTGAGCCACCACGCCTGGATAAAAATATATACGTATAAATCTTTAGTTTTGATATTCTATTAGGAAAAAGGGCACGTGCTTCCTTGACTTACCATGGGAGGAGTAAGCTTAAGTCAATGTTGCTAGATTTACCCAAACAATCGGACCGGTCCTACTGGAGGTGCCCACACAGAGGAAGAGCAGGAGGAGGCAAGAAAACGAGGAGTGATCCATACCTGACCAGTGTAAAACTTGAAGACAGATGCACAGAGAAATTAAATGATCCTTTTTACATATCCACGGCCTAGCAGGGGTACGTCAACTTCCAGATTAAGAGCGATGCTACGAGCTGGCTGCAGTGGCTCACGCCTGTAATCTCAGCACTTTGGAAGGCCAAGGCAGGCAGATCATTTGAGGTCAGGAGTTTGAGACCATGGTGGCCAACATGGTGAAACCCCATCTCTAATAAAAAATACAGAAATTAACCTGGCATGGTGGCACACACCTGTAATCTCGCTACTGGGGAGGCTGAGACTGGAGAATCACTTGAACCCAGGACGTGGAGGTTGCAGTGAGCCAAGATTGTACCACTCCACCACTCCAGCCTGGGCAATAGAGTGAGACTCTGTCTCCAAAAAAAAAAAAAAAAAATAGAGTGATGCTATGACTAGAAGACGTGAGATTCATCCCAAATCTGCCTTGAACACCCTAGATCTGCTTCCTCTATATTGAGCACACATTGACTCCTACACTTACTACCCTGTCTGATGGCTCTCTCCATTTCCCTCCTTTTCCTGAGCTCTTCCCCATGCTAGTCTCTATCTGTGCTTCTGGGCTAGTGCCCTGCGCCTTCCTCGGGCACTCTTCTCCAAGAGGACTGTGGAGTCATGCTGATGCCAACTCTGTAGATTGCTCATCCTCTATTTGTTTCAAAAATACACTTGGGAGAAAAAAACTACCACAACATGGTATAACCATATAAGATAATACCACACGGCAGTTAGTCAGATTGAGCCAGAGCTACATGTATTAACATAATCATCATAATTTTTTTTTTTTTTGAGACGGAGTCTTGATCAGTCCCCTAGGCTGGAGTGCAGTGGTGTGATCTCAGCTCACTGCAAGCTCCGCCTCCCGGGTTCACACCATTCTGCCTCAGCCTCCCGAGTAGCTGGGACTACAGGTGCCCACCACCATGCCTGGCTAATTTTTTTTTTTTTTTTTGTATTTTTAGTAGAGATGGGGTTTCACCATGTTAGCCAGGATGGTCTCAATCTCCTGACCTCGTGATCCACCCGCCTTGGCCTCCCGAAGTGCTGGGATTACAGGCGTGAGCCACTGCGCCCAGCCAATCATCATAATTTTTAAAACATAATATTGAGGTAAAAAGCAAGTTTCAGAAGGATTTATAAAGATGATTTACATAGTTTTAAAATATGCAAAAACACTATCGATTGTTTCAGGATATATGGAAATGCAATTAAATGATAAAATACCAAATTCAGGAGAGAAGTTGGGAAGATGACAAATGGAATCAGAGAGTGAATGGGAGTCATCTCTCTCTATAATGGTTCAAATATGAATCTAATGTGTCCAAATCTTCATTTTTTAAAAATTGGGTGGTAGGTACGTGGGTACATATATCATGACTCACACAAGTTTTTGGTATGTTTGAAATATTTCACAATTAGAGAAAAATCAAACAAGAAGCAGTCTTCCATATTCAGAAGTTTCTAACTCTTAAAAGACTTTCAAACTGAAGCCTGTGGCTGACTATACTGCACTTTCCAAGGACCAGAGAGTACTTGCTCAATATGAATGTCTGCCATATTTTCTACAGTACTCATGAGCTTGTTTAAATTATTCCTTCTAACAGAAGTTAAGACCCTGAACATGCATTCAGGACATACAGGTAGATAACAATGTCAGTGAAAGGTAACAAGACTCTTCCATAAAAATATAGCTCTTGGCTAACAAGTTTGTGTATAAATAGGTAATAAACCTTTTAAAATAGCAGGTATTTAATGGAAGAATGTTTTTAAATATCACTTGGTGAGCTAAAGCCACATGGTGAAATAATTCTTACTAAACATTCATGATTAGAAAACTTAGACTAGCCTTGCAACTGAAAGGAGAACTTAGATATTATCCACTTCAATGTTTTTCCAACCTTTCAGCTGCACATCTTCTGTTCAACTGAACAGTTAGGAAGAGTGTTAAGTGGAGAAGAGTCTCTGGTTGAGGCAGACATAGGGCTGCTGAGTGCCCACTTCCCCAAACAACTGGTGGTACCTTCTACAGGAATACATCAGCAGACTCTGGAAAACCGATGAAAACCATATCCTTTCCTCATTACCACCTCCCATCCTCCTCCACAACTTTGTTCAGAGGATGCACTGTACATCTGCTGCAGACCTGCTCCATCCCTATCTTCCCTAATCAGATAATCCTCACTGCTCTGATCCACCGTTCCAATTTCCCAGAACCTAGACTATGAATTCCTTTTCAATTCTGAAAACCTAGCAGGATGTGGGGGTGCGCAGCTATAGTTCCAGCTACTTGGGAGGCTGAGGCTAAATGATCACTTGAGCCCAAGCCCAAGAGTTCAAGACCAGCCTAGGCAACACAGTGAGATCTCACCTCTTTAGGAAAACAAAAACCAAAAAACAAAAAAACCTCTTCAACCATTTCAATGAGATTTGAGGAAGTACAGTCATCTTTGCCTGATGATTGGTCATGAATACTGACCCAGAAAATCCTCCACACACATTTCCCTGCCTCAGCTGCACAGATGCCCACACATGTTCTGTCTCCTTCCTCAGTCTTCCCTGCAGTCTCTCCCTTCTCTGCCTTTCCCGTATGGATTTGGGTTCCTCAGAGTTTTTTCCTAGGCTCTCTTTGCATTATTCATTTCTCCTTATGGGGTAATCATATTCACTCCAATTACTATCTATGTGCTGATGACTTCCAAATTACTAGCCTAGCCCTTTCTAGAAAGTACTAGACTCATATATCCAAATGCACTCTGGGTCCCACCACTCAGATCTCCTAGAGCAGCCTCACACTCCTTTTGTGTTCCACGTCTTCGTGAGCAGCACCATCATCTCCCAGACAGGTGTTTCAGAAACTCCAGAGTCACCCTAGACCCTCCTTTACTGTGCACTTCACACAGAAGCCTGCTGGCTCTACTTCTGATTGCCCTCTCCATCCTATTGGCTCAGCTCTGTCCAGACCAGCAAAATCTCTTGCCCTGGATTACTGCAATGGGTTTTTCAAGCTAACTTTTCTGTCCCCCAATTTCAGACTCCTCCAATCTACTTTTCACATACTGCAGAACAATCTTTCTAAATCAAAGAGGGAGACAGAAAGAGACAAAAGAGATTATGCAGAAATGTTTTGTTAATACATTTTTTAAAAAGGTGGGGCTGTGTGGGGGTACTGCTGGCTCCATCATTTATTAAAGAAGACCTGTTTAAAGTAAAGCACCTGGCCAGGCGCAGTGGTTCACGCCTATAATTCCAGCACTTTGGGAGGCCGAAGTGGGTGGATCACTTGAAGTCGGGAGTTCGAGACCAGCCTGGCCAACATGGTGAAACCCCATCTTTACTAAAAATACAAAAATTAGCCGGGCGTGGTGGCACACGCCTGTAATCCCAACTATTTGGGAGGCTGAGGCAGGAGAATTTCTTGAACCCAGGAGGCGGAGGTTGCAGTGAGCTGGGATTGCGCCACTGCACTCCAGCCTGGGTAACAGAGCAAGACTCTGTCTCCAAAATAAAATAAAATAAAAAATAAATAAAGCACCCAAGAAAAACCACCGCCATGGCCCCCCCCCCTTTTTTTTTCCCTGAGACATGGTCTCACTGTGGCACCCAGGCTGGAGTGCAGTGGCATAATCACGGTTCACTGCAGCCTCAATCTCAAGCAATCCTCCCACATCGGCCTATCAAATAGTTGGGATTACAGGCATGCACCAACACACCTTGCTAATTTTTTTTTCTTTGTAGAGACAGGGTCTCCCTATGTTGCCCAGGGTAGTCTCAAACTCCTGCCCCATAGCCTTTAATTAAAAATAGGAAATTGACATCTGTTTACAAGATTCACTGAGTTCTTGAATGTGTACACATATTTTCATCTTGCTCATTTTCTCTCCTTTGTCGAGAGCAGTGGTAGGAATAAAATGTATTTTCATGGTATTTCTTGTTAATAGGAAGCCTTCATGCAGAGCATACACTTTGCTGTTGTCCAGTACAGCAGCCATTAGCCATGCATGGTTAAATTTTAATTAATTAAAAGTAAATTAAATTGAACAATCAGTTCCCTCGTCCCACTACCCACATTTCAAGTGTTCAGTAGCCACATGTGGCTGGTGGCCACCATGCTGGACACCACAGAACTTTCCCATCGTAGCAGAAAGTTCTAAACAGTGCCATTCTAGAGGCAACAGGTACCAGCACCCCTCCTGCCTTACTCTTGGTCACCTCACACATCCACAACACCCAACCAGCTACAGGGAGGAATTTGAGTTTGTTTCAACCAGCTTGTCTAGACTCCAGAGAATCAAGTCCAAATTCCTTACTAGGATGTGTGAGCCCTGCTGTAAGTTAGCCCCTGCCTTTCCTCCTCTACCTGTGGAACACTGCCTGGAATTCCTTGGCCCACTCAACTTCGGTTCACCTCCCTTTGTCTTCATGTCCATCCCCGCTCCTCCTTCTCCACCCTCTTCACACATGCTTTCAAAACAAAGCTCAAGGAAACTGTACTTCCTCTATTGGCCCAGCTTGCGCAGTGCTGATGATCCCTCCCCTTGGGCTGACTGGGTTCTGTACACATTTCATGATATTGCCACTGTTTACATGTCTTTCAGCCCCTGCTAGACTGTAAGCCTCCTGGCACTCAGTCTGTTGAATGTTGTTAAACAACAGGATGACACACTGAGTGTCCGTCTGTTCAGGCTGCCGTAACAGAATACCAGAGTGGGCGACTTAAACAACAGACATTTATTTTCTCACAGTTCTGGAGACTGAAAGCTCAAGATCAAGGTGCCAGAGGGTTCATTTCTGGTGAAGCCTCTCTCCTTGGCTTGCAGACAGCTGCCTATGTCTTCACATGGCCTTTCTATGCACAAATATCCCTGGTGTCTCCTCCTCTTCTTATAAGGACACCAGTCCTATTGGATGAGGGCCCACCCCCTTGACCTCATTTGATCTTAAATATCTCCTTAAGGTCCAGTCTTCAAATATAATCCATTGGGGTTAGGGCTTCAGCATACCAACAATTGTGTCCTTTTGTTTCAGAGACTTAATTTAAAGGTTCTTTACTAAAGATACTGCAGAAAAAGTTCTAAAATCTGAAAGAGTGTAAAAGCTCTTTGTCTGCTATTTCCAAAATGGTACTCTTAAATTATGAACAGTTCAGTGTAGAAAGAAGACACAGGATTTCTATTCTTTCCTTATAGCTGATTAATTCAAAGTCTGAAAGGAAACCCCCGCATGATCACTGTCTCCCAGCTATAATTTTAGCTGCTGCCTTCAAGAACCCAGGAAATCCTAAGAACAGAGGCCATGCATTTCCTGTGTGAAAAGGGAAGGGAGACCCTTGGGTACATTAGTCTAAGTGATAATCTATCAATACACAATAGAAGTAACAGCTATTTTTAAGTGTTGTGTCTTCACTGACAATAGTTTTCTTTGCTAAGCAGTGTATAACTTCCTAGTCTTTTTAATAGACCAGTGCAATACTGAAAATGTCAGCTAATTTAAAGGTGTAAAGATTGAGCCACAAGGATTATGTTAATTCTACCCAGAAGCAAGCTCACTGCACAGCAAAAATTAGTTTTAAAAGATTTACTGGGATGCTGATAATGCGGGAGGCTGTACACGTATAAGGGTGGGGGAATATGGGATAGTTCCGTACCTTTCTCTCAATTTTGCTGTGAACCTAAGACTGCTCTTAAAAAACAAAAACAAATAAGGCCAGGCACAGTGGCTCATGCCTGTAAACCCAGGACTTTGGGAGGCCAAGGCAGGAAGATCGCTTGAAACCAGGAGTTCAAGACTAGCCTGGGCAACGTGGTGAGACTCTGAATCTAAAAAAAAACTTTAAAAGTAGGCACGGTAGAGTGCACCTGAAATCCTAACTACTTGGGAGGCTAAAGCGGAGGATAGCTTAGCCCAGGAGTTTGAGGCTGTAATGAGCTATGATAGTGCTACTGCACTCCAGCCTGGGCAACAGAGCGAGATTAAATAAACAAAATATGTACTGGCAGAATAAAGTTTTCCCATTAACTTAACCCTAATTCATTTCCTTCCTTTCTTCAGTTATAACATAGAAGAGTGACCAAATAATATGAATTCTTTTTTTTTTTTTTTTTTCTGAAACAGAATTTCACTCGTTTCCCAGGCTGGAGTGCAGTGGTATTATCTTGGCTCACTGCAACCTCCGCCTCCTGGGTTCAAGCGATTCTCCTGCCTCAGCCTCCTGAGTAGCTGGGAATACAGGTGCCCACCACCATGCCTGGCTAATTTTTTTTTTTTTTTTGAGACAGAGTCTCACTCTGTCGTCCAGGCTGGAGTGCAATGGTGTGATCTCTGCTCACTCCATTTCCCAGGTTCAAGCAATTCTCCTGACTCAGCCTCCTGAGTAGCTGGGATTACAGGCATGCGCCACCACACCCACCTAATTTTTTTGTTTTTAGTAGAAACACGGTTTCACCATATTGGTCAGGCTGGTCTTCAACTCCTGACTTCGTGATCCGCCCACCTCGGCCTCCCAAAGTGCTGGAATTACAGGCGTGAGCTACCGTGCCTGGCCCCCCCTTTTTTTTTTTGAGACGGAGCTTCGCTCTTGTTGCCCAGACTGGAGTGCAATGGCACGATCTCGGCTCACCGCAACCTCCGCCTCCTGGGTTCAAGTGATTCTCCCGCCTCAGCGTTCCGAGTAGCTGGGATTACAGGCATGTGCCACCACGCCTGGCTAATATTGTATTTTTAGTAGAGACGGGGTTTCTCCACGTTGGTCAGGCTGGTCTCGAACTCCCAACCCCAGGTGATCCGCCCGCCTTGGCCTCCCTAAGTACTGGGGTTACAGGCATGAGCTACTGTGCCCAGCCCATTTTTTGTATTTTTAGTAGAGATGGGGGTTTCTCTCTGTTGGCCAGGCTGGTCTTGAACTCCTGACCTCAGGTGATCCGCCTGCCTTGGCCTCCCAAAGAGCTGGAATTACAGGCGTGAGCCACCGCACCTGGCCTGAATTCATTTTTATACTAAATAAATGTATATCACATCAGCCAAAATAATACATTAAAAGATTAAATATGTGATTTGAAAAACAAAACTGCAGCTCTTGAATTCTATCTTTTTTTTCAAAAGATGGAACAGGTATCCTGGCCCCTGACCTGCCCTGATGATAAGAGAAGCAGTCACACGTGGCTAATGCTCACTGAGGACACACTACGTGAAAGGGAGATTTATGTGGGAAAATGCCCTTGAGGGAAAATGGGGAGGGAACCAGTAGATGTTTGCCAGGGGAAGAGGAAAGGAAGGCAGGTGGGACAGAAAAAGTCTTAGACTAAAGGCAGCACTAAGAAAGTTCCGGCCAGGCCAATGAGGAGTCCTTGAGACAAAGTTCTCATCAGGACTCCTGGGAAAGAGCCTTGGTATTCCTGCTATAGGAAGCATAGCCTCAGCTTGAGGGTAGTGTGGACCCACAGCATGGCGATGAGGCCATCAGTGGATTATGCCCTCATGGGCCCCAAACAAACTATTAGATTAGATGTACGTCATCGAGCTCCACACCAGTGAGGCCTCTCCAGCTTAGCCTGGATCCTACAGGAGGACAGGAGCAACAGTGCACTTATCTCAGTCTCCTCTTAAGTTTTTTCTTTCTGGTCACTTAAAGCAACAAAGGCCACACTCTGATTCAACAGCTCCCTGAGGCACAGATCCATCCTGCTGATGGGTTCACTGAATTAGAAAAACTGCTGTAAAAAAGCTAAGTTTGAATCCATTTACAGAGGATTCTTTATTTGAAACTGAATAAACACCATGTGAAGTTTTCACTTTTATTAACTCAATAAGCATCCATTAAAATGCCTAAAATGTGCAAGGTGCTGGAGACAGAAAGATGAGCAGATCAAACCTTCCTCTTGAAATGCTCCCTGTAAAATGGTATAGAAAAGACAAGCAAACAAATAATCATGAAACAAATAATTATGATCCTACAAGAGTGATACAATGAGTTTTAAAAGGATACAGAGCACAGGCACTTTATTCTGTGAAGGTTGGGGAGAAGGGGGCTTTAGTAGAAGGCAGAGCCTCCAACAGAAAGTGAAGTTTAAACTTAAGCGGTGAAAGAAAGACAGGAATTAAACAAGTACAGAATAGCTGGCAATGAAGCATGTTTAAAGTTTTAGGATATTAAAATTGAAATCACTGATATTTCTTTTTTTAAATCGACATGATTAACCTATAAGAACTCGTGCATATTTAATATATAAATTTTGATGAATTTAAAGGTAAGTATATCCCTGTGAAACCATCACCATAAACATAAACATAAACATCATCTCTAAAAGTTTCTTCCTTTCCTGTTTGTGATAAGAACATTTAACATGAGCTCTACTCTCTTAACAAATTTTTAAATATACAATACAGTATTGTTAACTATATGCACTATGCTGTACAGCAGCTCTCTAGCAGTTACTCATCCTGTATAACTGAAACTATATACCCTTTGATCAACACCTTCCAGATTCTCCCACCACCCCAGTCTCTGGCAACCACCATTCTACTCTCTGCTTCTATGAGTCTGACTATTTTAAATTTCTGACACAAGTGGGCTTGTGTAGGATTTGTTCTGGCGCCGATTTTCTCTCTTTTTTTTTTTTTTTTAGACAGGGTATCATGGAGTGCAGTGGTGCAATTTCAGGTCACTGCAGCCTCCACCTCCCAGGTTCAAGCGGTTCTCCCTGCCTCAGCCATCAGAGTAGCTGGGATTATAGGCGTGCACCACCACACCCAGCTTTTTTTTTTTTTTTTTTTTGAGACAGTCTCACTGTCACCCAGGCTGGAGTGCAGTGGCACAATCTCAGCTCACTGCAGCCTCCGGCTCCTGGGTTCAAGAGATTCTCCTGCCTCAGTCTCCCGAGTAGCTGGGATTATAGGTACTTGCCCCCATGCCAGGCTAATTTTTTTTTTTATTTAGTAGAGGCGGAGTTTCACCATGTTGCCCAGGCTGGTCTCAAACTCCTGGCCTCAAGTGATCCGTCTACCTCGGCCTCCCAAACTGCTGGGATTACAGGCATGAGCCACTGCACCCAGCCCTAATTTTCATATTTTTTAGCAGAGATGGGGTTTCACCATGTCACTCAGGCTGATCCCAAACTCCTGAGTTCAAACGATCCAACCTCCTCAGCCATCCTCTTCGACCTCCCAAAGTGCTGGGATTATAGGTGTGAGCCACTGGGCCCAGCTGGCATTGATATTTTTAAAGAAACTTAGAAATCAAAATTTTGTACAAAGACACTTGTACTGGGATAATTTACTATGAAAAAAAAAACAAACAAAACCTAAAGAGGGTATTCCCGAAACATGAATAATAAATTTTGTTAGTGCAACAGACAAGCAACTAGTCAGTAAGTGTAACTTTTAAAGATTTTCAAACATGTTTTATAAATTTAAATGCCTGATTGTCCTTACATACACAAACTGAAATAATTATTAAACTAGGCAATAGCTTTAAAATGTTACAAAAAATATAAAGAAATAGATGATGACATCCATGTCTTTCAGCTACTATGTTCTAGTTATTCAAGAGACTGAGGCAAGAAGATCATTTGAACCCAGGAGTTAAAGGCAGCAGTGAGCTATCCTCACACCACTGCACTCCCAACTGGGCAACAGAGCGAGACACTATCTTAAAAAACAAACAAACAAACAAACAAACAAAACTAATACTGTGAAATTTTTTAAATATTTAACTCATTTAAATTTTTTTTTTTTTTTTTTTGAGACGGAGTCTCGCTCTGTAGCCCAGGCTGGAGTGCAGCGGTGCGATATCGGCTCACTGCAACCTCCGCCTCCCAGGTTCACGCCATTCTCCTGCCTCAGCCTCCCGAGCAGCTGGGACTACAGGCACCCACCACCACGCCCGGCTGATTTTTTGTATTTTTAGTAGAGACAGGATTTCGCTGTGTTAGCCAGGATGGTCTCGACCTCCTGACCTCGTGATCCGCCCGCCTCGACTTCCCAAAGTGCTGGGATTACAGGCGTGAGCCACCGCGCCCGGCCTAACTCATTTAAAATTTTTAATAATAAACTGACTAGATATTAAGGTAAATAATATTTTTTACTAAAAATAAAAGATTTCTGAAAACAAAAACATTTAGTAAGAAGAGGTATTCTTTTACATTTTTGCAAGTTGCTTTAACTCTGGCTTCAGAGAAGACAATATGGATTCTCATACCTGCTCCTGTATCCAATCTGTTGTACTGTGTGGTTTTTTTGGTTGAAGTCTATGAATCAAATCCTTTTTCAGAGAGACATGCAGTTGGAAAAAGGTGGGGTGTCTCAGCAGCCTTTTCAGATCACTGTGGACATTCTTCCTTGATACAACACCAAAACCAGGCAAGGGGGAGTCTCTTAAAAAAAAAAAGTTGTGGCCGGGAGTGGTGGCTCAGGCCTGTAATCCCAGCACTTTAGGAGATCAATGCGGGCGGATCACGAGGTCAGGAGTTCGAGACCAGCCTGACCAACACGTGAAACCCAATCTCTACTAAAAATACAAAAATTAGCCAGGCATGGTGGCAGGCACCTGTAATCCCAGCTACTCAGGAGGCTGAGGTAGGAGAATCACTTCAACCTGGGAGGCAGAGGTTGCAGTGAGCTGAGATCGCGCCACTGCACTCCAGCCTGGGAGACAGAGCAAGACTCCATCTCAAAAAAAAAAAAAAAAAAAAAAAAGTTATAATGTAGAATCTATAACTCTTATCAGTGAACTTTTCATATCACTACATTAAAATCCATTGGTCTATCTTTTGAATGAATCTTTTACCCATGCACTATGACTTTGTAACGTGGTGCAATGGTGAGCTGGAAAATATTAGTTCACAAAATTATGTGGATCTTCCAAATGCTGACACATTTAATTATATAATATCAAATACTCATTCATTATATTGTCACCAATCTCATCAAAGAAGTCGTTAACTATTGAGAAACTGTCAAGCTCACTGTAGCAGATAAATTTTTTCAAAATTTTGATTTTTGCTTGAAAGCACAAATATTATCATTGGTCATAAATTGTCAGTTATTTCCTCTCATTTATTTTCCAGAAAACGTCCACCAAATACCCAAGTCTCAATAACTGCAGATTGTCTGCTACCCACTTTTTCAAGCAAAAATGGCATTTCACAATAAAAGCAGCTAGTTCGCTTTGCAACTCAAACTACACAATTGCTGTTTCTCAAAACAGGCACTGTACCTCTTTGTGCAGCAAAAGCAATTCATGTACTTCCCATTTCCTCATGAAAAGACAAAAGGCCAATTTTTTTTTTTAATTTTTACTGCTTCATCAGGGTCTGTTTAAGTGAAAGCAGCCCTTTTTGTTTTTTTAAAACTGCAAGTGGAGAGGTAGCGAATAATATAATGACTATCAGTGACACTTGGAGTCCCTGCCTCAATTTACGTTAAAGTGCCCAGCAGTTTTCCCTATTACTGCTTTTGGACCATCAGTACAAGTGTCAACACAGTGAAAACAGAAATGGCATCTTAGTATCATTATAAAAATAGTCTCCCTCTGCCTCCTGGGTTTGAGCGATTCTCCTGCCTCAGCCTCCCACGTAGCTGGGATTACAGGCACGTGCCACCATGACCAGCTAATTTTTTTTTTGTTATATTTAGTAGCAACGGGGTTTTGTCATGTTGGTCAGGCTGGTCTCGAACTCCAGACCTCAGGTGATCCAACCACCTCGGCCTCCCAAAGTGTTGGGATTACAGGAGTGAGCCACCATGCCCAGCCAAAATCTGACTTTTGACAGCTGAAATATTACCTAGGATGCAGTGGACACTGAATAATTACTGAATAAGTGAAAACAAATACAAAAACAAAAAGCAGCAAGAACTCCAAAAGAGGGGACAAATGATATGGAAGTTCTGAGAAAGCAGTCACATTAGAGATGATCAAGGAAGGTTCAAAATAAGAGGGTGCTTTGAATATTCCCTCAAAGTTTCTTTTCAGCAATTTATTCTATATTATAAAGATCCTCACCATTCTTATCCATCATTCAAAGGAAATTCTGCTTTCCTGAAACAACAAATATTGGTTCAAATTCTGAATTGTGTTCAGAAGAATTATCATCATTAAGTACCATTTAACTAAAGTGCTCTAGAAAATAATCTACATGCTGTTCCAGGAGAACTTCCCTATCTCATATTCTGACATTTGTTGTGTGTTTTCTTGAAAAAAAAAAAAAAAAAAAAAAAAAAAGACATGAATATTAAGAAAAAGGAAGAAACTCAGTGCCCAATGCAGCAGTGTTGAGCGGCAGAACCTTTAAGAGATGATCAGTGGATTAATGCTGTTATCGCAGGGACAGGTTAGTTATCAGGAATGCGTTCCAGACAAAAGGATGATTTTGGCCCCCTTCCTCTCTCGTCCACACATTCTCTTGCCTTCTCACCTTCCACCATGGGATGACAGGCCAAGAAAGTCCTTGCTAGATGCTAGTACCTTAATATTGGACTTCCATCCTCTGGAACTGTGAGAAATAAATTTTTCTTTGTAAATTACCTATATGTGGTGTTCTGTTATAGAACACAAACACAACACAAAATAGACTAAGATAGAGAGCATTTGGGGTGGCCTTTGACAGATGAGTAGAATCTGAACATGAGAACGTTTTTCTTTTTTTGAGACGAAGTTTCGCTCTTGTTGCCCAGGCTGGAGTGCAATGGTGCAATCTCGGCTCACTGCAACCTCTGCCTCCCAGGTTCAAGTGGTTCTCCTGCCTCAGCCTCCCAAGTAGCTGGGATTACAGGCATACGCCACCACGCCCGGCTAATTTTTTGTATTTAGTAGAGATGGGGTTTCACCATGTTGGTCAGGCTGGTCTGGAACTCCTAACCTCAGGTGATCCACCCGCCTCAGCCTCCCAAAGTGCTGGGATTACAGGTGTGAGCCACTGCGCCTGGCTGAACATGAGAACTTTTATATACCACAAAATATTCAAGAAGCACAACAAATGTTTATTAACACAAAGGCAATGACAGGCTGTCATTTTGAAAATTAAGAATTATGGGCCAGGCGCGATGGCTCATGCCTGTAATCCCAGCACTTTGGGAGGCCGAGGCAGGTGGATCACGAGGTCAGGAGTTCAAGACCAGCCTGGCCAATATGGTGAAATCCTGTCTCTACTAAAGATACAAAAAACTAGCCAGGCGTGATGGCGTGTGCCTGTAATCCCAGCTACTCAGGAGGCTAAGACAGGACAATTGCTTGAACCCGGGAGGTGGAGGCTGCAGTGAGCCGAGATCGCGCCACTGAACTCCAGACTGGGCAACAGAGTGAGACTCCGTCTCAAAATATACACACACACACACACACACACACACACACACACACACAAATATATCCCAGATTTTAGAAATTAAAGACAGTTAAAGAGGAAAAAAGCTTTGTGAGAGAAGTCTCTTCCTGTATACCCAGAGTTTTTTCCCCCTTTTCATTTTATTCCATCTAGACTAGAAGTCCTGCATTGTTAGAATATAAGAAATCAAGAAAAAGACTAAAGTTAAAGCTATGGAATAGACCTATTAACCAGAATAAAGTAATTGGAATGGGATAAAGGTAGCCTATTGTGTAGGAATTTCCTCTCTAACCCACTGTAGTCTATTAAAACAAAGAACAAAATACCACTGTCCATGTTTTTAAAGCAGTTCAGCAGCAATAGCTCCAAGACACGTACAGCACTGGTGTGCCAAAATCAGCTGTGAGGTGTGTCCAAGGTAATTTGTTACAGCAACAGGCAAAGCACAAAGGTTTGGGAATTAATTCTTTTTTAAATATCAAGGTTATACCTCTAATGATCTCACTTCCATCAATGAACATCCTGATAGGTTTTCAGGAACCACACATATGAATTCTTCTGTATGTGTTCATGATTGGGGGGCAGGGGGTCTAAGAAGAGTGGGGTTCCATGTACTTCTACTCTTCATCTTCATCTTAATCTGAAGCAGACTCCTAAGTCAAGAGGGCAAAACAGCCAGAAAAGTTAAGGAGCAAGAACACAGCTATGCCTTATTTCCCTCTTGGGAATCTATAACAGAAATTCAGCAAACTTGCCCTATGGAAATAAATCATAGCATTCTACCAGAACCTTCCCTCAGGGCCAACGCCAATCACTATGGTTGATGATGAGAATGCAGTGAGGATGCTGGAGAATAAGGCCAGGTGTGAGGTATGAAGAAAGGCAGAGGATACTTTCAACAGGCTGAGGGGAAGGCATGCAGGATTTTCTAGATTATTCAGGTATCACTCATTACCAGTTTCTGTTGAAGACAGCATCTTTGTCACTGTTAAGCTTCTTCTTCCAACCTACCAAGCACAGTGACAACTCTTAAGTTTTAGGCAATTTCTCACTTAGATAAATGTGAATGCTATAAAAAAGTTACACTATTTTGACAATATATAAAAATTATAACAATGAAACACTAATGTTGGTTGTTTTAGGACTATAACTCATTACTAATATCTCCCTTTAATTATATAAATAAAACACCTTACCAGTTTCGAAGCATTTTCACACACACTATGTGACTGAATCTTGACAATAAACCTGGAATGTCAATAAAGCTGGTATTCACCCCCTTTTACAGCTAACTAAACCCACGTTTAGAGACATTGTAATCCACAGGAGATTCACAGACACTTTACCAGATGCCCACCACTGTGTGAAGAAGCCAAAAATCTGCCTAAAACAAAGTCCTTACCAGTAAGCATCTCCAAATCCAACAGGGAGAGCCCACGTCAACAACAACCACCACATAAACTACATAAGCCAGCATTAACCTGTGGAAGCGCCCTGGAAGCAGGTCCACGTGTGACTGTGCCTAAGTAATCACTGACCTATTTTGGCCAAAAGAAAAGTGTCAGGCCAGTCTAGGAGCAGGGAAAGAAGCCAAGAAGCCAGAGCTTCCACCTCCTTGGCTGCCACTCTACTACTCTGTTCTCTGCTGTCTTCCCTTTAACACTTTTTTTTGAGACAAGGTCCCACTCTGTCTCCCAGGCTGGAATGCAGTGACACTATAAAGGCTCACAACCTCGTCAGGTGATCCTCCCACCTCGGCCCCTCAAGTAGCTGGGACTACAGGCACACACCACCATGCCCAGCCAATTTTTTTTTTTTTTTGGAAGAGGCAGGGTCTCCCTATGTTGCCTAGGCTGGTCTCAAACTCCTGGGCTCAAGTGATCCTCCTGCCTGGGCCTCCCAAAATGCAAACATAACAGGCCTAAGCCACCATTTCTGGGCTCAATACTTTTTTTGTTTACCCCCTTTCTCAGCTTAAGCTATTTTTCGAGGTTCCTCTCCATGTTACATAATCTTATACCTTTACTTACCTATACATCCCCTACATATCTCTAAGATGACAATAGCATAAATGGATCCAACAGATAGGAAACATTTCTTTCATTTAAGTACTTGTGTTCTGTCGCACAAATTATAAAGTTCTTTGAGGAAAGGATTCAATTGTCAATGCCTAGCAAGCACTCAAACACAACTACAACACAAAAAATTGAGGGAATAATGAATACATTGGAGCAGAAATTAGGAGCAATACGCAAAAATATGTTTGAAATGCACAGAATCTAAACTGCGTATATGTGATTTTCCCTAAAGAGCCTTAACAAATGCAGTACAGTAGATCCTGTCAAACCCATTCCTAATTTAAGTTTGTCAGACTGCCTAGGAGCATCTAATCACCAAGAATTCTCAAATCCATCCATTTCTTTCCTTTTTTTTTTTTTTTTTTTTTTGGTGAGAAGAGACAGGTTCTCGCTCTGTTGCCCAGGCTGGAGTGCTCCAGTGCTCAGGTGATCCTCCTGCCTCAGCCTCCCAAGTAGCTGGGACTACAGGTGCACACCACCATGCCCAGCTAATTTTTTTTAATACTGTAGAGACAGAGTCTTGCTATGTTACCCAAGCTGTTCTGAACTCCCGTCTCCAAGCCAACGTGGCCTCCCAAAGTGTTGGGATTACAAGCATGAGCCACTGTGTACTCAGCCTGTACTTCCATTTTTAAAAATGTGCCACAAGCCAGGCACGGTGGCTCATGCCTGTAATCCCAGCACTTTGGGAGGCCGAGGCAGGCGGACCACCTGAGGTCAGGAGTTTGAGACCAGCCTGGTCAACATGGTGATACCTTGCCTCTACTAAAAATACGAAAATTAGCTGGGCGTGGTGGCAAGCCCCTGTAATCCCAGCTACTCGGGAGGCTGAGGCAGAAGAATCATTTCTACCTGGGAGGCAGAGGTTGCAGTGAGCCGAGATCACGCCATTGCACTCCAGCCTGGGCAACAGAGCAAGACTCCGTCTCAAAAAAAAAAAATGTGCCACATGTCACAACATTGTTAAAAATCTGAATGCTGAATTCAAAATAGTTGCAAGTACATGTTGTATTATATGTAAAACAAGATCACAACAGCATCTACCTCCCTAAGGTTGGCAAGGATTAAATGACTTACTGTATGCTAGTGCATATTATTTAGATGTTTTGAGAAATAACTACCCCAGACCCAGCAAAATCTTATCAATCTGAAACTTAAATTAAGGATAATAAGATTATTTAAAAAATGGATTCTAAAAGCTGAAAATGCATTTAGATCTCAAAAACAGAGTAAGAATCAATTACATGCTTTTCTTCAAGGACTGCAAGTCCTTTCTGACACTGGAGAAGAACTTAACTCTTTCCCAAAGACAGCCAAAAGGAATATCAGGACACAGGCCTTGAAAGGGATAACATCCAAATGGGAAATGCCACCCACCACCTCTGAAGCCAGATTACTCCAGTCTATTTTTATCAACCAACCATTTATACGACTTTTTTTTTTTACTTTAAAAAATTCCATGAGGGGGCTAACAACTCCTAAGTGTTATGTGCTTTGCATATATTAAGGTATTTTAGCCTCATAACAATCCAAAATGGAAAGTGCTGGTATAACCCCACTTTATAGATAATAAAATGAGGCACAGGGTGCAGCTCCTAGAGTATGAGGCGCGCGGCAAGGGCTCCCAGCTCCAAGGGAAGTAGCTGCCTGCGGACAACGGGCGCAGTCATCCTGGTGAAGCCCAGACCAAGCCCAGACCTACAGCCTTGAGAAAAGCGGGGCTCACAGCTTGGGGCAAAAGTGGTCATTCCTCTCAAGATTCTCACACCTGTCCAAACGACCTAGTCAAAGCCAGTCCTTGGGGTCGGATCCCATTGGGGGAGCAGCTGGGGATAGGGAAAGGTCTCCAGAAGTTTGGCAGGCGTCCCGGGGTGAGGAGTAAGGGTCCCAGGTGTGAAGGGCCTGGGGGGAGGAGTCCTTGTATGGGGGAGGGGTCCTTGTATGAGAGGCGGGGCAGTGGTCCCTGGTTTGAGGGGCCGCGCGGGTGTCCCGGGGCTGAGGGTCGGGAGTCCGGAGGGGCAGCGCGGGGCTCCCAGGGTGAAGGGCGGGGTCCCCGGGGTGAGGGGCCGCGCGGGGTTCCGGGGGTGAGGGGCAGGAGGTCCCGGGGGTGAGGGGCGGGAGTTCCCGGGGGTAAGGGGCCGGGGTCTCGGGGCGAGGGGTCGTGCTGGGGTCCCACATGAGGGGCGGGGTCCTAGGGTTGAGGAACGGTGTCTCCGGGGCGAGGGGCGGGTTCCAGGGTAGAGGAACCGGGGTCCCGTTGAGGGGCAGAGGTCCCAGGGGCGAGGCCGCGTGGGGGTCCCGGGGGTGAAGGGCGGGGGTCCTGGAGTGAGGGGCCGCGCGGGGGTCCCGGAGTGAGGGGCTGCGCGGGGGACCGGGCTGAGGGCGGGTCGCGGGGGTTGAGGGCGGGGTCCGGCTCACCTTCCGACAGCTCCAGCTCCAGCTCAGCCAGGCTCTCCCGCACCTCGGCAGGCAGCGGCGCCGCCTCCAGCGGGCACCCGCGGTCAGCCATGGCCAGGCCGGCTAGCGTCCGGGCAGAGGCTGGAACCGGACCGGGCCTGGCGGCGGCAGCGCAAACCTCGGCTACGTAGCTCCCCTCAGGCCAACAACCTACATCCGCCAGGCGAGGAGCGGGAGGCGGCGGGACAGGGGCGCGGCCAGGACAGCAACGCACCCGCGCGGGCACGAGCGCGGATGGCTCCGCCGCGCCGCCGCTGCCCCGCGCGCTCCTGAGCGCCCGGCCGGCCCTACACGGGAGCGCGTGCGCGGCGGGAAGGGCGGGTAGCGAGCGCGCGTGCGCAGTGGGTCTCGGGCCCGCGCAGCCCTCCCGGCCCCGCCCAGCAACACCAGAGCCTCGCTTCCATTGGCCCCGAAGACGCGTCGATGCCGCTCCGGGCTCCCATTGGGAGAGGCGGGAGAGCGCCGCTCCCGACAGGCTCTGCGCTGGGCCTGCTTGAGGGTGGCGGGCTTGAGGCGGGCAGGCTGCTTAGTTGCGGCCCGAGGCGCCTAAGTGGGGATGACCAACCCGTGGGCGTTGGCGCTGACCCCTAGGCGCCGCTGGTGGCCCCGCGCGCGGCCCTCCGGCCAGCCCCGCCCCTCTCGGGGCTCCTCCTTGGTCCCCGCGCCATGGCGCGTCCGCGTTGACCGCTGTCTTCCCTTTCGGGCTGTGCTGATCGCGAACGCTGCGCAGTCCGTGGTGGCGTCGAGGCACCTTTCTCGTGCCTTTACCTGTGTTCACTCCTTTGCTTTAAAAAACAGCCCTAGAAGTACACATCGTTGGCCCCGAAGGAGCCCCAGCAGCCATGTCGGACCGCGAGGTGACCTTGGAGGGCGGGAGGACGGACGAGGGGCCTGGCGGAGCTAGACTGAGAGGGCGCCGCCGGCGTCCTGAAGGCCCTGCTCCCCGAATGTGTGGGAGTGTGTCTGACGGTGCGAGGGTGGCTGTGGCGGGGCCTGAGCAGCGTGTCCGTGTCCCGATGCCGCCCGCCTGTTACTGAGTTAGGCAGGAGTGCCCGAGTCTGGCGAACTTCAGCAGTTCTCGTTCCAGAGCTCCACACGAGGTTGGCCAAAGCTTTGCGGGACTTACATACCCTTCTTCCTCCGCCCAGTCCTGCTTCCTTCCCCTTCCTTTCACGGGTGTTGATACCATGTCAACATCCTCGTACCCCAAACTCAGTCGCAGCGTCTGCTTCTGGAGAAACCATTCTGCAGCATTAAAGCTGGTGAGAAGATGGGATTCGAGGCTGCATCACTCACCAGTGGTGAAGTAGGAGGGTGAACTAGTGAAATGGAATCCACGAGTGGGTGAAGTATCAGACATTTCATATATGGTGAACGTAGTAGATAAAAGGAAGGAAAGGGGGATTGGATAGCTATTGCTTAGTGCCAACCGAGACTCTTAAGAATAGTGGTCAGCTGAAGGCAAGCAACAAACAGTTGTAAGCCAGTGAATCTGTCCCGTTACATATAGAGAAGCTTCATTTACTGCAGCAGGTCAAAGACAAGAACCAGGCCCAGGAATTAACATCCCTGTTTGACTGAACTCCAAAAATAGCAAAACACCCAAACAAGGCAATACTCTTCCACTAAGTTTGGATCCCTGCTAAGAAAAGATGAGGCTGGGCACAGTGGCTCACACCTGTAATCCCAGCACTTTGGGAGGCCAAGGCGGGAAGATTGCTTGAGTTCAGGAGTTCAAGACCAGCTTGGGCAACATGACAAAACCCCATCTCTACTGAAAACACAAAAAATTAGCCGGGCATGGTGGCCACGGCTGTGGTCCCAGCTGCTTGGGAGGCTAAGGTGGGTGGATCACCTGAGCCCTGGAAGTCAGGGCTGTAGTGAGCTGTGACTGCACTCCAGCCTGGGCAACAGGAGTGAGACTCTGTCTTTTAAAAAAAAAAAAGAAAGAAAAGAAAAGCCCGTCATACATGGGTTGGAGATACCTGGGTAGATGCCTTCAAAGGTTTTGACTCCCCAAACTGCCTTAAACCTTTTTTTCGTAGACAGTGTCTCACTCTGTTGCCCAGGCTGGAGTGCAGTTGCTGGATCATGGCCCACTGTAGCCTCAACTTCCTGGGCTCAAACGATCCTCCCACCTGAGCCTCCTAAGTAACTGGGACTACAGGTATGTGTCACCACACCTGGATACATTTTTTATTACTTGTAGAGGCAAGGTCTTGCTATGTTGCCCGGGCTTGTCTCAAACTTCTAGGCTCCAGTGAGCCATCACACCTGGCCTGCCTTGAACCTGAAGCCTGCCGGGGTGGCTCACCTCTCCTATTAACCTGACACTACTCCTCCTCCCTCCACTTACTGCTCAGTAGATGTATAATTATGGTTGTTTCTTTTGCATTATTCAGCTGGAAACAATGAGATAGAAAAGAGAATATAGCTCCCTCCCCCTCAGAAGAACTGCGTTATTAGTTTGCTGGGGCTTCAGTAACAAACTGGGCAGACATTTATTGTCTCCCAGTTCTGGAGGCTAGAAGTCTGAGATCAAAGTTTTCACAGGGTTGGTTCCTTCTGGGGCTGGGAGGGAGAATCTGTCTCATGCCTCTCTCCCAGCTTCTGGTGGTTTGCTGGCAGTCTTTGGTTCCTTGGCTTATAGAGGCATTGTCCCAGTCCTGCCTTTATATTCACATGGTGATCTTGTTGTGTGTGTCTCTCCAGACGAAGGCATAAGTAACATCATTGACAAAGGTCATTCGACATGGGCCTCTTTTTAGAAGGACACCAGTCATACTGATTAGGGCCCACTCTAATGAGCGCATCTTAACTTGTCTACAAAGACCCATTTCCAAATAATGTCACATTCACATTGACCAGGGGTTAGGGCTTCAGCATCTTTTGAGAGGGACACACTTCAGCCCATAACAAGCTGTACCACCCAGCCAACATGTACTGACAGGAGCTGGGAAAGTTTGGGGCTGGATTATGAGGGTGCTTGATGAAGGGAGCTGGAATGTAAACTTGCATAGATGTGTTTATTGAAATACGTGATTTAACACCTTGGCAAAGAGTGGCTGCAGACTTCCTGCAAGGATGGCTCCTAGAATGGCGGTATAGCTACTGCTGCCTAACAAATTACTCCACACTTCGTGGCTTAAAACAAGAATCATTTCTTATCTCTAGGTTACTGTGGGTCAGACATAGTGGGGATCGGTGATCTCTCTAGGTTACTGTGGGTCAGACATAGTGGGGATTGGTTATCTCTCTTCCACAGTGTCTGAGGCCTCAGCTGGAGCAGTTCAGAGGCTAGAGGTTGGAATGAGTGAAGGTTCATCTGCTCGAATGTCTGACAGCTGATACTGGAGATTGGCTGCAGCCCAGATTGGGGATGTCAGCCAGCACACCCCTACACGGCCGGTCCCTGTGGCCGAGGCTTTCTCACAATATGATGGCTGGATTCCAAGGGCAATCTAAAGACAAAGGACAAAAGAAAGCTGTATCCTTTTTGTGAACCAGCCTCAGAAGTTGCATACCATCACTTCGGCTACTTCCTATTTGGAAGAAATGAGTCACTAAATTACCCATATTCAAAAGGAGAGGAATTAGGCTTCATCTTCTAAAGGGAAGAATATCAAAAAATTTGCCAGTATATTTTTAAAACACCACACTTGGAAAAAGCCATGGGCCATGGTAAGCAAAATTGAAATGGCAAAATTGCTATGGCAGACAGTGGTGGAAGGGAGTAAAAGGTTCAGGGGTGTGGGCATGTTGAAATTTATATACTCCGTGCATCTAGAAGACATTTGAGACGATCATATTCCACATGAAGGTGTAAATAACACGTCATTTATAAAGATCATTAGACATAGGATGATGAAAGGGGCACTGATGTCACTAAAATATTCAGTGATGGCTCATCTCTGTAGGCAAGAATGACAATAGAAAGGCTGTTCCAGAACTTGGCTGGGTGATAGCACTGGGGATGATAGGATCCTAAGACAAAAGAGGCCATTCTGGGACATAGTGGGGACCAAAGAAAAAAACCCAAGAAGCCAAAGGCAACACTTAGCTGGCAGAAGTCAGAGGATTGCAATTATAGCAGCCAGCAGGGTCTGAGTGGCAGCCAAGGGGACCTCACTTGTATGGTTATAGAACTGGTCAATAAACATGGCATCCCTGGAGGCAAAACAGGTGGGCAGCTAAGAAGGGTACTACTCAGCTGGCAAAAAAAAAAAAAAAAAAAAAAATCCATCCAGGCACGGTGGCCTGTGCCTGTAATCTCAGCATTTGGGGAAGCTAAGGTGGGAGGATCACTTGAGCCCAGGAGTTCAAGATTACAGTGAGCTGTGGTTGCACCACTGCACTCCAGCCCGGGCAATGTGGCAAGACTGTCTCAATTGAAAAAAATAAATAAAGATGCTTGTCCCAGTTTTAAAAAATCAGGATTCCATGCCCAGCTTCTGGAACTGAGCCAGTTTTCAGAAATGGAAACATTACTTGAGAGGTGGCCAAACACCAGGAAGAAGGACCTATAACAGTACAAGTACAACAGAAATGAATCCCCAGGTACTTTTCCAAAGGGTCTGATAGCAATTTCTTTTGATAACTACATCCTGGAGAAAAGTGATTAGCCAAACATTTGGAAGACTTGTGGACACAGGGTCTAAATTGATGTCCAGATGCCTAGAATATCATCCCCTTCTGTTAGAGTGGCTGCATGTGGTGGCCAGGTAATTGATGGAGTTCTGCTAAAGGTCCAGCTTACAGTGGACCCGTAGACCTAGTGGACTGATCTAGTGATATTTTCTTAGCCTTCGAGTGAGTAATTGGCATTGACATACTTGGCAGTGAATGCTCATTCCAGGTCCCTGACCTATAGAGTTAGATAACAAAATGGAAAAAGCCAAACAGAAACCTGAAACTGCCCCATCCCCTACCAAGATTATAAAACAATTATCCCAGAGCGGGAATGGCAGAGATAAGTGCCACTTCTAAGGATCCAAGTGATGTAAAGTGGTGGTTACCAACATTTTTAATTTACCAGCATGACCCCTGCAGAAGTCACAAGGATCCTGGAGAATGGCAGCCTACTCTATTTGCTGTCAACCAGTAGTTGTTTTGGGTACACTGCTGCAAACTCATCTAAGAAGTATCCCTGGCCGGGCACAGTGGCTCACGCCTGTAATCCCAGCACTTTGGGAGGATAAGGTGGGCGGAACACGAGGTCAGGAGTTCAGTCTGGCCAACATAGTGAAACCCTGTCTCTACTAAAAATACAAAAAATTAGCTGGGTGTGGTGGTGTGCACCTGTAATCCCAGCTACTTGGGAGGCTGAGGCAGGAGAATCCCATGAACCTGGGAGGTGGAGGTTGCAGTGAGCCGAGATCATGCCATTGCACTCCAGCCCAGGTGACAGTGTGAGACTCTATCTCAAAAAAAAAAAAAAAAAGTATCCGTAATAGCCTCTCTGCCAGATATGGTAGGTAGTTGTTGACTAGGTGGATTTGTTCTTTTCTGTACCTATCAGGGATCAAAAACATTTTGCATTTGCATGGAATTAAAATGCAGTTTTGCCGGAAGGTTATGTTACTTCTCTTGCTCTCTGTCGTAATCCAAAGAGATCTGGACCACCTAGACATCCTGTAGAATATTACATTGTTCCTTTACATCAGTGACATGTTGATCAGCCAGATGAGAAGTGCAGAAGATCCTGGAGACAGCTGCTCCAGAGAGTGGCATATAAACCCTACAGGAATCCAGGAGCCTGCTACAATCCTAACATTTTTAGGGCTCCAGTGGTCAGGGGTGCTCTAGGGCATCCCTTCCAAAAGCGAATGAATTATTGCTGCTTGCACCTCCTGCCGTTAAGAAAGCAAGACGCTTGTTGGTTCTCGAGCTAGTTCTTGCCTCAGGTTCTGGAGGCAGCATGTCCCACACCTGGGAGTATTGCTCTGGTCCAGAGACTAGTGGAATTGGGAGATTTCCAATTTTGGAAAGAGCCCAGAACTGGAAACGTCTGTACAGTAGATCCGGGTTGTGATGAAGTAATGCTATTGCCTGGGCCATATAGTCCAACAGGTGTTTTTTTGGTGTTATTAATGGTGCAGAATGATGCAATGTAGAGATTCTGTCATGCCACCTGGAGCAGAGAATTGTATGCATTTGGGGGGCGGGCGGGTGTAGATCTGTCTTCTGGTATGCCACTTGTCTCTGACAGAGATGGAACGCCTGACCGTAAGCCACCAGGTGACCATGCAACCAGAACTGCCTGTTAATGTTAAACTAGCAAAAGTCATAACATCAGTTGGGGCCAGCAACGGTCCCTCATAATATGGAAGTAGTATATTCAAGGTTGAGCATGAGAATGTACAGAGGTTACCAAATGAGCTGCAGAGCACAGATGCACATGACTTCCAGAACTGTTGGATCAGCCACAATGTCATTTCACACCTGTGACAGTGTGAGGGGGCCCTTATAGCCAGTTGACAGGAGTAAAAATCGTGAGCATGGTGTATAAATGGGTTGGCTCAGTATGAGTTCAAAATGAAAATAGCAGCTACATTACAGCCTTCTCAGGGGTGACCTTGAAAAATGGTGATAAGGGCATATCCTCTCAATAGGCAGAATTTCAGGCAGAGCTCCTGGTCGTCCACTTTTTTGTGGAAGAAGTAGCCCAAGGTGAGAATATACATGGAGCCATGGGCAATGCTAGAGGGCCTGGGTAACTGGTTAAGGGCCTGGAAGGAAAACAATCGGAAGTTGGAGATAAGGAGGTGTGTGGTAGATTTATGTGGTCAGATAAATTGGAATAGCACGAAGTACAATGTTCTTTGTATACAATGTTAATGCCCACCAGAGAGCATCCATGAAAGAAGCATTATACAACCAAGTAGACAGTTGACTCAGCCAGTTGATATTGGACAGCATCTTTTATTGGCTACTGTACTACTGGCATGATGGGCACATGGACAAGGTAGCCAAGGTGATGGACGCTGTTCATGGGCCTGACAGCAACCCATGCTCTCTACCCAGCTTTGGTTAATATCTAGCTGCCCCTGAATATCTAACCTGCCAGCAAAAGAGATCTACCCGGCTTTGGTTAATATCTAGCTGCCCCTAAATATCTAACCTGCCAGCAAAAGAGACCAGTGCTATACTCCCATTGTGGGTCACTTCATCAAGGAGCACAAACATCCAGGTTTACAGAGGTCTTTAGACATAGTCCCCATTTTATAAGGAGAGTTTACTGTATTGGAACTCTCCCATCCTGGAAGGGCTGGTGGTTCACTTTTCACAAGAATAGTCTCATATTCCAGATACGAGGCTTGTCTTTTCCTACTCACAAGTGTCAGCCAGAAAGGCTTAAGGAGTGTTTGTTTCACTGACATAAGCACACAACATTTCAAACGAGATTCACTTTATAGCCAAGGAAGTGTAGTGTCCATGGGCCCTCCTGCCTGGCAGAGCGCTGAGACAGCATGCTAAAGGCACAGCCTCCCAAAGGCATGAGCCACTGAGCCCGGCACTGAAGACTTCCTTGAAACCGTTCTTTGCAATCTTTCTGTTATTGACCAGCTGGACAGTGCGTAACTGCATGGGAATGCTTGCAGATCAGTAAATTCAGACACCTTCCTTTCCACATAAGATGGACCACCAGCTGTACCCTCCCAAGTTTTGCCAGCTGGAAATCTTCAAAAATCCAACCCTAAACTAGGTTGTAGTGTAGCAACCATCTTTTTGTTTGTTTTTTGAGACGGAGTCTCACTCGGTCTTCCAGGCTGGAGTGCAGTGGCGCGATCTCAGCTCACTGCAACCTCTGCCTCCCGGGTTCAAGCGATTCCCCTGCCTCCGCCTCCCGAGTAGCTGGGACTACAGGCACACGCCACCATGCCCGGCTAATTTTGTGTCTTTTAGTAGAGATGGGATTTCACCACGGTGGTCAGGATAGTCTCAATCTCCTGACCTCATGATCCGCCTGCCTTAGCCTCCCAAAGTGCTGGGATTTCAGGTGTGAGTCACTAGTGTAGCAACTATTTATGGTTCATGCCACCATACCGTATGGATCCGTTGGTAGAACAAACCTGTATTTTTTCGTCTTCTGTCAACTGGTCCTAGGGAGCGTCCCGTGAAACCACAGATGTAGACTGAGGGGTGTGAAGTAGAAGAGGCGGCAGCATGTGTTTGGTCACTCACTTGGGTCACATACTTATGCCTTCTGAATCTGTTCAGGCATAGTTTTGTGTATATTATTTCCAGTTTCAGTGGAATGCTGTTTATGTCCAGTTTAATGATTTGTGTATAGGCTGTCCTCCTATGGTATGCCTCATGCTTCTGTGGGCTGTATTGGGATCAGAGTCTTGGGGGTCTGCAAGCAAGGTGGTATTGTTGGGTTTTGAGAATCAGCATCTCTCTGTGAGGCACTGTATTTGTTCTCACACTGCTATAAAGAAATGCCTGAGGCCAGGTGTGGTGGCTGAGGCCTGTAATCCCAGCACTTTGGGAGGCCAAAGCCGGTGGATCACCTGAGGTCAGGAGTTCGAGACCAGCCTGACCAATATGGTGAAACTCTGTCTCTACTAAAAGTACAAAAATTAGTCGGGCCTGGTGGCGTGCACCTGTAGTCTCAGCTACTCAGGAGGCTGAGACAGGATAATTGCTTGAACCCGGGAGGCGGAGGTTGCAGTGAGCCAAGATTGTGCCATTTAAGCCTGGGTGACAGAGCAAGTCTCCATCTAAAAAAAAAAAATGCCTGAGACTGGATAATTTATAAAGAAAAGAGGTATATTTGGCTCACGGTTCTGCAGGCTGTACAGTAAGCATAGTGGCTTTTCCTTTGGGGAGGCCTCAGGAAGCTTCCAATCATGGCAGAAGACAAAGGGGGAGCAAGGCACTTCACATGGCTGTATTAGGAGGCAGAGAGAGGATGGAGGTGCCACACACTTGAACAACCAGATCTCGTGAGAACTCATTCACTGTCTGAGGACAGCACCCAGGTGTTAAACCATTCACGAGGAACTGTCCCCATGATCCAGTAACCTCCCACCAGGTCCCACCTCCAACATTAGGGATTAGAATTCAGCATGAGATTGGGCAGACACACAGATCCAAACCATATCAGGCATCCATCCCAGGTGCAGTCATTAAAAGTTTTCTATTCAGGCTTTTGAGGTGATTGTGGTGGGGCCCCTTCAAGGTGGGGGCTGGACACCAGAGGACCCAACCACATGATTGGAGGATTAGGATTTTCAGCCCCACCCTCAAACCTCTGGAGAGGGGAGGGGGTTGGAGTTTAAGTTCAATCATGTGATCAATAATCCAATCCATCATGACTATGTAATGAGGCCTTGATAAAAACTCTTAGCCAATGAGGCTTACAGAGGTTCTGGGTTGTGCTGTGTTGCGGGAAGTCAGGGACCCCAAACCGAGGGACCGGCTGGAGCCGCGGCAGAGGGACATAAATTGTGAAGATTTCATGGACGTTTATCACTTCCTAGTAATACTCTTATAATTTCTTATGCCTGTCTAATCTCAATCCTGTTATCTTCGTAAGCTGAGGATGTATGTCACCTCAGGTCCACTGTGATGATTGCATTAACTGTACAAATCGATTGTAAAACGTGCATTTGACGAGGCCAGGAGATCAAGACCATCCTGGCTAACACAGTGAAAACCCGTCTCTACTAAAAATACAAAAAATCAGCCGGGTGTGGTGGCAGGCACCTGTAGTCCCAGCTACTCGGGAGGCTGAGGAAGGAGAATGGCATGAACCTGGGAGATGGAGCTTGCAGTGAGCTGAGATGGCGCCACTGCACTCCAGCCTGGGCGACAGAGTGAGACTCCATCTCAAAAAACAAACAAACCAAAAAAAAAAAAAAACGTGTGTTTGAACAATAATGAAATCAGTGCACCTTGAAAATGAACAGAACAGCGATTTTAGGGAACAAGGGAAGACAACCATAAGGTCTGACTGCCTGTGGGTTCGGGCAAAAAGAGCCATATTTTTCTTCTTGCAGAGAGCCTATAAACGGACGTGCAAGTAGGAGAGATATCGCTAAATTCTTTTCCTAACAAGGAATATTAAGACCCTAGGAAAATAATTGCATTCCTTGGGGGAGGTCTATAAATGCTTGCTCTGGGAGTGTCTGTCTTACGCAGTTGAGATAAAGACTGAAATACGCCCTGGTCTCCTGCAGTACCCTCAGGATTGTTAGGGTGGGGGAAAAAACCACTCCCTGGTAAATCTGAGGTCAGACTGGTTCTCTGCTCTTGAACCCTGTTTTCTGTTGTTTAAGATGTTTATCAAGACAATACATGCACAGCTGAACATAGACCCTTACCAGGAGTTTTTGATTTTGCCCTTTGCCTTGTGATCTTTATTGGCCTCAGAAGCACGTAATCTTTGTTCTCCCTTTTGCCCTTTGAAGCATGTGATCTTTGTGACCTACTCCCTGTTCGTACACCCCCTCCCCTTTTGAAGTCCTTAATAAAAACCTGCTGGTTGTGCGGCTCAGGTGGGCATCACGGTCCTACCACTATGTGATGTCACCCCTGGCAGCCCAGCTCTAAACTTCCTCTTTGTACTCTATTTCTCAGACTGGCCGACACTTAGGGAAAATAGAAAGAACCTACGTTGAAATATTGGGGATGGGTTCCCCCGATAGTGCTGGGAGGGCAGCACGCCTGCAGTGGACACAGAAGCTCTGAGCCCCATACCTGTCCTGCTCACCTCTTCCATTTGGCTGTTCCTTTGTTGTACCCTGTATAATAAACTGGTAATCCCAAGAATAGTACTTTGCATCATTCTAGTAAATTATTAAACCTACAGGGGTGGGGCTGAAAACCCCACAAACTTATAAATTGGCTGGGCAGAATTGCGGGTAGCCTGGAAACACCACTTGTGGCTGACGTCTGACGTGGAGACTGAGTCCTTAGCTTTTAGGGTCTGTGCTGACTCCAGGTAGTACCAGAATTGAAGGACTTTAGGCCAGGCACTGTGGTTCACGCCTGTAATCCCAGCACTTTGGGAGGCCAAGATAGGATCACTTGAGCCCAGGAATTCGAGACCAGCCTGGGCAACAGGGAGACCCCCCATCTCTACAAAAATAAATTAATTAAAAATGGAAGGACTTTGTCCTTAACTTGTGGGAACTGTGTCCATTCTGACTCTAGGTAGTGTCAGAATGGAACTGTAGGACAGGCAGCTCGTGTTAGAAAAGGAGACAAGCCTCCAGCAGGTCAGGGAGGCGGCAGCAGGCAGCATGAACGGTAGCCCAGGCTCCCATGCAGTTCTCCAGCTCTGCTGTCCCCCTGCATCTATCCATTCCTATTCTGCATATGAATTTGCTTTTCCCGCCCAACACTCATTTGCAGACTTCCCAAATTCCTAATTCATCATCGCTTCTAACCAGAAAACTCTTCTGAGAGCAAGTGTGGCTCTAAGCATGTGGTTGTACGATGCCCTCATCTTACCCCAAACTCCTATCAGTCAGAAGTAGCTTGCTTAGTGGATGGTGGAAAGGCCTCCCGAAGGCTCAGTTATGATGCCAGATTGGAGACAATGCCCTGTCAATATGGATGTTATAATACAGGATGTGGTATAGGCTTTAACTGAACAATACCTAGTGCTACTTCTCCCACAGCCAGCATATGCTGGCTTGGAAACCTAAGGGCTGCAGATAGGAATGGCCCCTCTTACTGTTATGCCAAGTAACCCCAGAAGGAATTTTTGCTTCTCATCTTGTAACTCTGAACTCCACTGTCCCAAGGGAGGACTGCTTCTACCAGGTACGACAATGGTGGTATTTTGAACTTTGAACTAGCAGTTGAGACTGCTGCCTGAGCCAACACCCAGGGATGGAGTTACTGCACTAACTGGTGCTATTGATCCCAATTTTTGAGGGAAACTGGGTGGCTCATACACAATGAAAACAGGAACATCCTTATCTGCAATCTAGTGTCTTCACTGGCACCTTTTGGTACCGAGGACTTTCGGCTCAGTGCAGCCTCCGCCTCCTGGGTTCAAGTGATCCTCCTGCCTCAGCCTCCCGAGTAGCTGGGATTACAGGGGCCTGCCACCACACCCGGCTAATTTTTGTATTTTTAGTAGAGACCGGGTTTTGCCATGTTGGTTAGGCTGGTCTCAAACTCCTGACCTTGTGATCTGGCCACCTCGACCTCCCAAAGTGCTGGGATTACAGGTGTGAGCCACCACACCCGGCTGACAGCTTCTTGGCTTCAAGCTAGAACAGGCTCCTCACATTCATGTCCCATTGTCTTTGATGAAACGAGGGCAGTTAACTGTAGAATAGCCCATGTTCATCTTTTTCCTCATGGTTTCATTTATTTTTCCTTCAATAAACTATAAGTTAGGGCTGGACACAGTGTCTTGAGCCTGTATTCCCAGCACTTTGGGAGGCCAAGGCAGGAGGATCACTTGAAGCTAGGGGTTCAAGACCAGTGTGGGCAACAGAGTGAAACTCCATCTCTACTTAAAAAAAAAAAAAAACAAAAAACAACTAGCTCAATGTGGCAGTGCGTGCCTGTACTCCCAGCTACTCGGGAGGCAGAGACAGTAGGATTGCTTGAGCCAGGAGCTTGAAACCAGGCCGGGAAACAAAGTGAAACCTTGTCTCTAAAAGAAATACGAAAATTAGTGCCAGGCGTGGTGGTGCGCACCTGTAGTCCCAACTACTCGGGAGGCTAAGCAGGCGGATCATTTGGGCTTGGTAGGTCAAGGCTGCAGTGAGTTGTGATTGTGCCACTGTACTCCAGCCTGGGTGACAGAGCGAGACCTTGTCTCTAAAAATAAAAAAATTATACCCATCTAGTACATTTTTGGATAAAGGGTCCTTGGCTAGGTATTACTGTCTAGTCTAAGCGAGTATGAGTGAAACATAAAAAAGCACAGCCAGCCGGGCGTGGTGGCTCACACCTGTAATCCCAACACTTTGGGAGGCCGAGGAGGATGGATCATTTGAGGTCAGGAATTCAAACCAGCCTGGCCAACATGGTGAAACTCTGTCTCTACTAAAAATACAAAAATTAGCTGGGCCTGGTGGTGGGCGCCTGTAATCCCAGCTACTCAGGAGGCTGAGGCAGGAGAGTTGCTTGAGCCCAGGAGGCGGCGGTTGCAGTGAGCCGAGATTGCACCATTGCACTCCAGCCTGGGTGACAGAGGGAGACTCCCATCTCAAAAACAAAAAGCATGGCCATGAGAGGTGGATACATAGTGGCAGCATCTTTAAAAAAATAAGAAACCAAGTAAGAGTAAACAACAGTCAAGTGGCTATTCAAGAATGCTCCGGGTTCCACTGAAAATTTTTGACTTACGAGTTTAACATAAACTCTCTGCTCAATTTTTTAGTCAGTGAGAAAGGCAAACTGATAAAATGGATAAAATGGAAAAAAAAAACAACACAAGGGCTATTCACAAACAAAACAGTGATTAAATTTTATTCCTTTTTGAGTTGTTTTGTTTTTATTTTTAAATGAAGTTTCCATCTGTACACGTTAAGAAAATAAACAAAACAACAGGAAGCCATTCTCTGTGTATCCTCCTTGGAGGCAGGAAGGATGGATCTGCCGATAGGCACACAACAGCACACAGCCAGGGCTCATGGGAGTGAGTGCCCGTCACCTCACGAAGGTCATGGGCCTAAAACATACGGAGGCTCCATAGAAAATGCTCCAGCTGGCTTTGCAGTCATGCATAAAGGTGAGGACACTTAATTCAAGGCATCTGGGGGCTGGTGTCACCGCACATGAAGAGTAGTGCCCATGCTGTCCCACGAGCTTCCTTGGGAAAAGGGAAAAACAAATCTTTTCCTCAAATAGAATTGTCGCAGGAAAGAGCCATGACATTTTATTCACTGTTTAATCATCGGGTGGCAGGATTTCTTTGAAGTAGAATCTGCATATAAATAAAAATGAGGCAGCAAATTGGTTACAAGGCTTCACAGATTTTTTGAAAAGAATTCCACAATTTTGAAACACTATCACTGAATTCATGTAAATTTTGGTAAAAATATGAATTATACAGTGGTTTAAATTATGATATTTAAGAAACACTGAACAAATTATATCCTGGTCGAAATATAATCTTTATGTTCGCTATCAATGTAAGAGAAAGGACAAAAAAGTCCAGACGGTGATTAAGTCAAACTGACCTCAGCACGTATCACTGAGTACACTGGCTTAGACTTCTGTGAGATTCTTCACTTGTAGCCTCTATTCTAATACTATTAGTGACACTGATTGTTCAGACTGAAACTTTGGTTACTAAGCTGAATACCAGCCATCTTTCAACAGACCCTACGTTTCCAGGGTACAGTGATAATCAGCTTAATAAATACTCGGCGAGGACTTGCATTACCTGGTAGTACCCCTCCCAATCTTTGCTGGATCACTTCTAAATGGTGAATATACTCTGTCAAGGAATGTTCTGGATCTTGAGAAGCAGTCAGGGATCTTTCTAATCTTGAATTTGGGGATGGAGTGGCTCTTCAAACAAATTACCACACCAAGAGAAGAAAAAAAAAAAAAAAAAGAGTTGAGTTTGACAGACGGAGCCATGGTGACTGAGTGCAGAAGAAAGGCACCAGCCCCGCCAACCAGACCCGTGGGGATGGGTGACTCTGGGGCCGTTTCCTTCAGATCCCTCATTACAAAAAGTGTCACAGAGTGCTTTAAAAGCTTCTGTGCAATGTTCCAGAGTTGAGTATATTACTTTGCTTGCTACATCTTCGACGATGTATCTATTACCCAACCTGGATTCTGCACCAGGTCTCACCTGCCTTTCCTGATCTTCCCAAACTGTTTGTCAGGGTGATACCTGCCCCACTCAGTCCTCACCTCAGCTGTCCTTCCTCCTAGCCTTCCGCCAGGCCCAGGGAGCACCAGGGGTATCCCTTTTCCCTCTCCACCCAGAGCTTCCAAGTATCTTCACGGCAGGGAACATGCCTTCTTCACCAAGGCACATCCCTCACAAAAGGAGCCCTCGGCCACCATTTACTCTTTCACTAAAGATGGCAGCACCGGGCTCTCGGGCACCAGAGACACCAGAAAAGCCAGGTCCTCCCCCAGAACAGGGCGGGACTTCTTGGCCCTCACGGACTCACGCTGGAGAGTTTCCTGCCTTGCCCTGGGCTGGGCCAAAGCCAGAACTAAAAATGCATTTCTCTGAGGCCCTATGTAGGCTGGAGGGAGAGCCCTGGCAGGAGACGGGGCCTGAAGGCATCACACTGACCTTCCCCCACTGTGTGGGGAGGCTGCTGCTGCCAGTCTGCGGCCTCTGGCAGGGTCCCTGGTGTGGCCAGAGGGTACATCCCGGGTTGGGGGGGACTCTCTGGTTCTGGGTGGAGACTGCGGCTGTCGTGCTCGGGGCCCTTCCCCAGAATTATTTAACAACCAAGGGATTAGGAAAATAAATGAATGCATTTTAGTAAAGGCCCATCTATCAACAGTTTAAACGTATAAGCTTTTAAGAGCCTGTATGGCAATTTTAAGACATTTTTAAAGTGCTCAAGGTACAATATCTTTTTAAAAGCTTTGGAAGAAACCTGAGCTTTGACTATCTGCATCTGCAGGGGTAGCCCGTCTCCGGGGGAGTGCGGGGCAGGGGGGTCTCAAGACCTGGGTGGGGGTCCTGCCTCTATCCGCTCTGAGGAGCTGGCTCAGGAGGGAGGGGCAGGAACCCTGGAGACCACCAGGTGTGACTCAGAGGGGCAAACTTTCCTGATGGCTTGAAGGCTGAATCAAAGCATTTTAATTTCAAGAAGCAACTATTAAAATGTGGAGTCAACACTGATACAGCTGCCAGGCGCAGTGCTCATGCCCACAGTCCCAGGTACTGGGGAGGCTGACACAGGAGGATGGCTTGAGCCCACGAGTTCAAGGCTGCAGTGAGCTGTGACTGTGCCATTGCACTCGAGCCTGGATGATAGAGCAAGCCCGTCTCTTAAAAAACAACAAAACAACAACAACAACTTGGTAAGGCACTTCCAGGAATGCCGAGTCATGGTGCCAGTCGGCGGTGGTTCAGGCAGCCTAAGCCCCACAGGCCCGGAGCCACACACCCACCCCGCGTTCTCTGTGCTGCGTGGGAGGGGCGTTCTCTGCACACAACGCCTGCCGCTCTGGGACAAGAGCCCCTGGAAATGCCCTGCTCTGGGGCTGGCTCCTTCAGCACTAGTGCAGCCAGCTGTGCTCTCTGCTGTAGGGGGCAATGGCTCGGCAGAGAACTCCCGAGACAAAGATGTGAGTGAGCCAGAAATAAGCATGATGCTCTACAAGGAAAGAGACGTGAAGTGAGTTTCAGTTGATTTAAGGAATAAAAAAAGACCATTTTGCTAAACACTATTAAATAATCAATATATTGAGCATCTCAGTGTTTCCCATCGCCGTACGCCCCTGTGACCTGTGTTCATAGCTAACATGAGCTCTGACCTCCCTACGCCGGGCGCGCCTTCCCTCTGGACGACTGCTCTGACGGAATTCACGGATTTTCTTACCGTGCTTTATTACGTCCCCATCAACACTGAAAAATGACCCAAAGTGAATGAAAAACAAGAGTAGAAAGAAAGGTTTGTGAGTCCAGCGGTCAACAGCAGCTGGAGTCCCACCTGGGCGAGGGGCTTTGCCTTGTGCCAGAGCTCCTTTCCGATCTACTTCTTGCCATTTCTTAACCAAAAAACGTAATCTACAAAAAAAAGAGACAAGACACACTTAAAAGTACGGCAAGACAGGAAGGGAAAGAGCAATGAAAACCCCACTGTGACCAAACAAGCAGAATGGGGGCCTCGCTGCCCATGGGGACCAGGACGCCAAGGTCGGCCAGTCTGTTGACTCGGGCCTGGCATGCCGGGTGCACACATCCAAAGTGCTCGCAGGGCTGCCGGCGGCGGCGACCTTCCCATGCCCAACCACCTGACAAAGCCTCACTGCGGCCCCACCGTGGACCATATGGTCCCCTAGACACCCACCATGGCCCAGCTCAGGACGACTCCAGTTCAAAGTCAGCCGGCCACACCAGTGACTAGGAAACACATGCCGCTCCCGCCTGGTGTGCAGGACCCTCCCATCTTCATCCTGTCACAGATGCCACTGGACAGGCTCAGAACACGGAGACCCCAGCCCTCGCAGGAGTCCGTCAGATGGTGAGCATGCAGAGTGCAGGTGACGAGGGCATGCAGGTCAGTGTGCAGGGCCCCAGACGCCCTGCTAGGATGGCCTTCGGAACAAGCATCATGCCTGTGGCTTCCCTCCTTTGAGGCATAGCAGACACTGCCGATTCCTCCATAAGACCTGTCAAGGCCCCTTGGTGGCAGCTACCCTAGGCAGTGCCCTCACAGGGACACAGAGACTGCTCCTTTCTGGGACACCACTGCCTTCAAAAGATCTCCCCTCCTCGACAGGAGGTAGGATCTGGGTCTGCTTACCTCCCCTATCTAGTGCCTAAAATGCTTCCTCCTGCAGGGTGTTCTCCCCATGAACACAGGATGGACAGATGGGTGGGTGGAAGGATGGACGGTGGAGGCCTACGGTCAGGGGAGCTCAGAGACGAGGAGACAAAGTGCCCCAGGACCAGAGAAGCTGAGAGTACAGCAACCCAGGAGGCCTCGCCTGCACCCCACTTTGGCCCAGCCTGCAGCCGCGATGACTGAACTGGCTCGGCACCTGGTCTCTGAAAGGAGCGGGATTCCTAGCTGCTCTCTGCTGCATCTGCTACTCCAGACAGGCCCGCGCGTGGCCTTGGGAAACACCTCTGTGGCATCAGGGAGCAGGCACAGCCGCACAGTGTTTAGGGGGAAAAACAGTTTTAGAAATTCAGCACGTTCTTTGTGGCACGAAACCCATTAAAAGTCAAGATGTTCCTCTGTAATACAAAGGTGCCCTTAAATCTTTAGTTTTAGAAGGTGAGAGATTCATACACATGACTTCTTGAAGACAAGTTCATCATCTGTATTTTCTCTAAGGCCTCAAATGCCATTCATCTTTAAAAAGAACATATTATGGAGTTTCAAGGAATAAAATGACCAAAAAACCATGCAGTGTGCTGCCCACTCACGGAGACAGACGCGGAACGCACTGACTGAACGTCATGGCATTTACCTTAATATTGCAATGACCACCCTGACGGCCGTGCGGAACCTGGTGAAAGGACGAGATGTGATTTTCCGTTCTGCTTTGGAAGGAAATACCCCCAAATGGGCAATCATGGAGAGTGTTTCTTGTTCAGAATCCTGGAATCCACCAATCAACAGCAAAAGATACTTCTTTTGATAAATCAGAGCTTTTCTAAAGCTCTCTGCTCTCAAGTAATGCAGGTACAATTTTTCCATCTAAAAGAAAAAAAGCAGTAAAATTTTATCATAGGAAACAAAGACTGTCTTGCTGACAAAAGCACATTAACACCATTGCTCTTTCCAAAGAGTCAGATTGTTTTTTCCCATCAAATCATCACAGAGCCATCGGCCTTCCAACAGTATCTGTGGCCAGAAACAACCTTGCTGTTGGAAGATCAATTTGTGTTTGTCAGACAAGATCTAGGACCACAAGCTCCTCTCCACAGCATCATCAAATGAGCCCCTATGAAGCTTCTTGCATTTCACCCCTTAGGTAAGGTCCAAACTGGGCATGAGATGGACGTCACGGGGTGGGGACCGTGTGCCATCAGGAGACTGCAGCAGATCTTGGGCCGAATCCCGGCAAGCCCCTGGGCCAGGCCTCCCTCAGGCTGCAGAGGCCGCCATTTGCTGACTTTGTCAAAGCCTTCCACGTTCCACGCTTAACAAGCACAGAAACTCAGTATTTGTGCACAATTAAAACAAAATTCAAGCCGAAGTTTATTCTGTGAACGTCCTTTCCTTTAGTGATGTGACTGCTACACCCGGCAGACGAGAACCTTGTGGTCACAAAAATGCTTTGCCTGCAATTTGCAAACCCAGGACTTAAAAAAGCACCAAAGTTCTATACTCGTGGCACCGTTCCTACCTTGACATTGCTGGTGTGTGCTTCCTCGCTGGCAGCTGGTGGAAGCCGGCCGGGGTCTGGGCGCCTCAGGGAACTCTGTGGAGCCGTTTCGTCTGGCTTCCAAGCAGACCTTTCCGACCTCTGTAAGGAAGCACAGCCAGCGCTGTCTACAGAGCTGCTCGTCAACAAGAGCATCTTAGAGACGCAGCCGGGGGCAGGTGAGGGAGAAGGCCATGTGCGGGGAGGCCAGGCTGACCACACCACACCTGGCCCCTCCTCAACTTCAGCACCCCCTCAGCAGGGCCTAGGTTACGCCGTGCTGTGATCAGCCAAAGAATTAACATGGAGTAATTACGACATGCCACTTGCTGAAGTATGATTGCAAAAAAGGTACATTTTAACAGAAACAGAAAACCAATTCTTTGTAAAATCACCCCAAATTCAAAGCTTTAAGCCTTAAACACTCTCATATTCTCCGGTCCTAGAAATGCCAACCACTGGTAACTACAAGCACAGTCAACTCTCGACAGCTGTGGGTTCCACATCCATGGATTCAACCAACTGTGGGTGAAAAATATTCAGAAAAAACGATGTGTCTGTACCAAACGTGTGCTTCTTTTCTTGCCCCTACACCCTAAACAATACAGGATGACAACTATTTACGTGGCATTTACACTGAATGAGGTGCTGCAAGTGATCTTAGAGATGACTTAAGAGTGTACGGGAGGACGTGCACAGGTTGCTGCTGACACCACTGCAGGTCAGGAGGCTGAGGCAGGAGGATCCCTGAACCTGGGAGGTCAAGGCTGAAGTGAGCTGTGACTGCTCCACTGCACTCCAGCCTGGGAGATGCAGCAAGGCCCTGTCTCAGAAAAAAAACCCAAAAAGTGAAAAAAGCCAGTTTAGGAGGTCCCAGACGGGCTGGTTCCACTGACACACCTTTCTGGGAGAGAGCCAGGGCCTGTGGCAGGCGGAGATGCCTGCTGCTCTTTTTGGGGGGGCCATCGCTGTGTGCTCTGTGAATGGTGGTTACTTATGAAGGTTACAGGGATGTGTGTGTGTGTGAACTTGTATGACACTACACCAGGAAAGGGCAAATTTTACTGTATGTAAATTTAAAAATAATTTTTAAAAAGTTATAAAAAATAAAGCAAATCACAAACAAAATAGCCTAAATACAAAAGAAAAAAAAATGAGACATTCCGGAAGATAACTCTATCCAACTATACCATTATGAAAATTATAAGTCACTTTAGGCCGGGCACGGTGGCTCATGTCTGTAATCCCAGCACTTTGGGAGGCTGAGGTGGGCGGAATCACGTCAGGATTTTGAGACCAGCCTGGCCAACATGGCAAAACCCCATCTCTACTAAAAATATAAAAATTAGCCATGTGTGGTGGCGGGCACTTGTAATCTCAGCTACTTGGGAGGCTGACACAGGAGAATTGCTTGAACCTGGGAGGTGGAGGTTGCAGTGAGCTGAGATCGCACCACTGCACTCTAGCCTGGGCAACAGAGCAAGACTCGGTCTCAAAAAAAAAAAAAAAAAAAAATTATAAATCACTTTAACTAAAACTCTAAATTAGATCAGATTATAATATTCTTAGTCAAAATACCCTTTTATGAACATGCACCAAACATCAAGTAGCGGTCAGGGTCAGTGAGGACGCCGTCTGTGGCGGAGCTGGAAGTCGGCTGAGATGTTCAAACATCCCACAACATTTAGCAAGGCTTCAGACAGAGGCAACAGAGCCTGGCGGTTAGGGAGAAGGTGACGCCCACATCCCCAGGTCCCTAAAGGGAGCCCGGCCTCTTGTGGGGTGGAGCTGCTCTGGACCATGGTGGGTTAGGCTGAGGCAGGTAAGAGTTAAGCACAGACACCTACGCTTGGGCTGCAGCCCTTCTGCAGATGGTGCTTCAGCAACTTCTCAAGCTTAGACACGGCTCTGCTCAGCTCCAGCTTCTCCTGGGTCACCGTGCTGAGCGCTTTTGTGAGGGAAACATTGTCTTTCAGCAGGACGTCCACAAACTGGAACTGCAGCTCTGCTGCCATTTTTTTCTTGGAGAAAAGAAAATAAATTTGTAAGAATTTGTTGTTAAAGGGCATGAACATTACTTGTGTTTTTTGTCAACAGTTATTTTTAGGGATTGTAATTAATGTGTCTGGGGTTCAATGAGAAGCTTGTGGAGCTGGCAGAAAATTGTAAAAGTCATTGAATCACAGACTTTGCACGCAACTGGCTTGTATGAACAACGCAGGCCTGTCACAAAGCATAGCCCGTTTGGTTGTTCTAACAGCACTGAAATTAACAGGTGGCTGGACCGTTGTTAGTTCATCCCAAGGGGGCGGATGTGAAGCCCCTCAAAACAGGTTTATTACTTCCACCATCAAAAGGACGTTCAGCCTGTGGAGGGTGGGCACGCTGAAAGGTCACCAGGGCCCAACACAGGGGGCAGGGTGCACCCCACCCACAACGACGTTCAGCTGGCGGGGCCAGAGGGTAAGCGGCGCAGCTCCCCTGCACCTCACATGCGTGGGCTCCACGATCAAAGTCATGATTTCATAAATGCCACAGAACACACATCAAGAATTTATACCAGCAGCCAGATTCCCACCTCCTTCAGAGGCAGCTTACAGTGAGCTCAGACTTTCCAAGGAGGACTTGGGTTTTTGTTTCTAGCAAAGGCCGTCAACGCAAACACAAAGCCAGCAGGCTGGGCCAGGTGGAGGTGAACATCGGCCGCCAGCACCAGAGCAGAACCATAGCCCCTCCTGACCAGCGACCTGCAATGTGTCCAGGTCATGCACAGCGAGCAGCATGTGAGGGGGCTCTACCAGTCACGCAGCATCCCATGGCAGCAGGGCTCAGCCCCCGAAGACCACACAGTCACACAGCATCCCATGGCAGCAGGGCTCAGCCCCCGAAGACCACACAAGTGCCCCAGGACATGGAGGACATCCGTCCCCACTCGGCCCACAGGGTCGACCCCACCCACTCACCCAGATAGCAACCATGAATTCAGAGAAGGCAGCGAGGGAGGAAGAACAATGGGGAAGCGTGAAAAAGAACCACAAAGCTGCCGAGAGGGCCCCTCTGGGGGAGGAGCCAGGCCAGGGACCTGGGGGCGCTCACCCCTTACCTGGGAGGAGGTGGGCCTGCTCAAGTCAGACTTCAGCTCCTCCAACGTGTGCAGTAAAGACATCACTGCTTTCTCATTGGATGACGTCCAATCATTAACTGTCCTGTAAAAATAAATGGGCACTCAAAGTTGCATACGCGCCCCAAGTGACCATTATGCAAAACTAAACAAGAGCTCACGGCTCAAGAGAGACAAGACAGGTTTCTGAGGAGCCTGTGTGTGAATCACTTCGTCCAGCCGTGAGGCAGAGCCAGGGGCCCACGGGGGCAACAGGCCTGTGGCTGGACGCTTCTGCAGAGCTCAGAAACCTCCAGCCGGGAGGCGCGCCACCGAGCACGGGAAGCCACCGCCTGCCAGGCCCCGTGGCTTTCCTCTGGAATGAATGATTTAAAATGCTGTCCTAAGTGAAACTTTGCTTAGAAATCATGCTGCTCTATACATTAAGTCCAAGTATAGAAAGGAGAACTGTGTTTGCCGAGTTTCTGTGTATAGGGAAAAAGACAAACATTAGCATTACCCTTTCTGCCCATATGAAATATCACGATCGTCATCCTGGGTGTGAGTGGCCTTGAGTGACACTGGGCAGTGCCAGCGGGGGGGGGGGGGGGGGGCCACAGGAGGCTCCAAACCCGACCCTGTGGGTGGTGAGCAACTACACAGAGTGTAAAGAGAACCAAGCCAACCCTCAAAGGAACATGGAAGCCCCACGTCAGGCGTATTTTGAATCACAGGATTTTTTTCTCTGACATTAGAATATGAACATGCCATCTTGCCAATCCGGAATCCCTCAGCAAAGTCTCAGAAAGAGGACTAGAGCGTTAAGTGCAAAGGAGCAGGGGCCTCACACCAGACGCGCCCCAGCCCTCGGGCCGGGTCTGGGACAGAGGGGTGGCTGCAAGGGACCAGTGAGCGCCAGGTGGCGTGGGTGCACACCTGTCCACGGCCTGGCTGGTGAAGCTGGTGAGAAGCCGGGCGGCAGAGAGCAGCCGCTGCCTCATCGCCTCCAGCTCTCGCTGCTGTTCCCGGAGGTGGTCCGCATCCGAGCCGGCAGCCCTGCGGGCAGAACCTAGGTGGAGGCGGCTGCCAGGCACCTCGTCCTTCGACTCCAGGTCTCTCACTGTCTGCTGAAGCTGCTTGATCTTATGCAAGTCACGCTGACGCTGCAGTTCTAATTCTCGCTGTTGTTAACAGAAAAAAGACAGAGAAGACGTTCACGTCAGTGTCCAAAAACAAAACTGCCGGCCGGGCGCGGTGGTTCATGCCTGTAATCCTAGCACTTTGGGAGGCCGAGGCGGGCAGATCATGAGGTCAGGAGATTGAGACCATGCTGGCCAACACAGTGAAACCCCACCTCTACTAAAAATACAAAAAATTAGCCGGGCGTGGTGGCGGGCGCCTGTAGTCCCAGCTACTCGAGAGGATGAGGCAGGAGAATGGCGTGAACCCGGGAGGCAGAGCTTGCAGTGAGCCGAGATTGCGCCACTGCACTTCAGCCTGGACAACAGAGTGAGACTCCATCTCAAACAAAACAAAACAAAACAAAACACAAAACTGCCAGCAGGGTGTGGTGGCTCACGCCTGTAATCCCAGCACTTTGGGAGACTGCAGCAAGCGGATCACCTGAGGTCAGGAGTTCGAGACCAGTCTGGCCAACATGAGGAAACCCCGTCTCTACTAAAAATATAAAAATTAGCTGGGCGTGGTGGTGCGCACCTGTAATCCCAGCTACTCGGGAGGCTGAGGCAGGAGAATCACTTGAACCTAGAAGGTAGAGGTTACAGTGAGCTGAGATTGCGCCACTGCACTCCAGCCTGGCGACAGAGTGAGACTCCATCTACCAAAAAAAACCAAACCAAAACAAAAAAAACAACAACTGCCAAGCAAAAGCCCAAAACACACAGCCGCGTTACAGGGGAGGCCCCTCACAGACCAGAAACAGGCCCTCGGGCAGGCAGCCCCTGTGGTCCTGTACTGGGACCCACAGCTGACACACTGCACACCCTCGTGCTGTGCTGCTCTGTGTCCCTCCAGCATGGAGGCAGCTGAATCACACACCCCAGAATGATTCAGTGGTAAAAGCGTTTCCATCGTAGTTTTTAAAACTATCAGGCTTTCATCAGGCCCAGGGCAAGCACGCGGGGTCCAAAGGAGAGGAGCCTGAGAAGCTGAAACAGAACAGACCGGATGACGCTTCCCTGTGCCCTGGTCCCACTCATCCACATATGTACACGCACACGCCCAGACGCTCATACCAACATAGACACAGACAGGCACATTTGTGCATGTGAACATGCACACACGTATGAGCCTGAGTGCAGCCCTGGGGCTGAGCCTGGGTGGCCACGTGGGCCTGAGCTCCTAAGCCAGACCTCAAGGAGCAGCAGCCTTTCCTTCTGCAGGACGGGGGCACAGGCCATGTCTGGTGCCCGGGAGAAGCGTGTCAGCAAGCGCCTGAGCCCCTGCCCAGGGCCCGACTCCCACCAGGCAGGGGACAGAAGGTCTACTGCACGATGGGGCAAGGAAGGACGAAGCAGCCTCTGAAGGGCCTCTGATTCCCAGCAGCGCCGCTGGGGCTTCCTTGTGACAACACAAAGACAGATCCAGCGGGAAGAGGCCCAAGATGCAGACACACAGAGGCGGCTTGCCGTGTCAGGGAGGGAACCCCAGCACTGAGCTGAGGCCTTCCCAGCCCAGAGGACCCACAGCTGAGCCTGCACTGTGTGGCACCAGCGCCCCTGCCACTGCGGTGACCAGGGTGCAGCTCAGACTCTACCCTCCTGACAGCGCCTCACTCAATGCTCGGGCCTCTTAAACAGGAATGAGTATCTTTTCTATTTTCTAGTAAGGAAAGTAAGATACAGAGGAACTAATGAGATTGTATTATTTAGAAAAGATGGAATTGTATCCAGCATGCCACTATCTTGGGAGGCTTCCATGGCTACAGCTAGAGAAGGGTTCTATAATCCAGATCAAATTCACTATCCTCAGTAAAAAACACTCTGGAGGCCGGGCACAGTGGCTCACGCCTGTAATCCAGCACTTTGGGAGGCCAAGGTGGGCGGATCAATCACAAGGTCAGGAGTTCAAGACCAGCCTGACCAATGTGGTAAAACCCCGTCTCTACTAAAAATACAAAAATTAGCTGGGCTGGGCGTGGTGACATGCACCTGTAATCCCAGCTACTCAGGAGGCTGAGGCAGGAGAATCACTTGAACCCGGGAGGTGGAGGTTGCAGTGAGCCAAGATCGTGCCATTGCACTCCAGCTTGGAAGACAGAGCGAGACTCTACCTCAAAAAAAAAATTAATAAATAAATCACTCTGGAAGGGCCACCTCACTCAAAATACAGGTCAAGATGCATCCTGAAGCAAGCAACTTAGAAAATATTTTCTAAGCACTCATGTTACTATTTTTTTTAAGAAACAATCAAAATTAAAGGTTTTGGCTGGCAACTTCAGGCGTGGTTTCAGGAAGTTCTCAAAAAGTAAAGACTCCTTTGAGCATTCCATCAAAGGATGAGCTCTTGCCCAGGAGAAAGGCAAACACACACACCACGTCTCACCCTCAGCTGGGGTCCTGTGTAGACGCCCCTGCCATGCTTGGCCACACTGTCTGTACCACCAAACCACCTCCCTACTCTCCAAGGCTTCTGGAGATAAAAAAAACTACGACTATTCCAAAGAGTGTTTTTGTTTTTTTGAGATGGAGTCTCGCTCTTGTTGCCCAGGCTGAAGTGCAGCGGTGCAATCCCGGCTCACTGCAACCTCCGCCTTGCGGGTTCAAGCAATTCTCCTGCCCCAGCCTCCCGAATAGCTGGGATTACAGGTGCACACTACCATGCCCGGCTAATTTTTTGTATTTTTAGTAGAAATGGGCTTTCGCCTTGTTGGCCAGGCTGGTCTTGAACTCCTGACCTCAAATGATCTGCCTGCCTTGGCCTCCCAAAGTGCTGGGATTACAGGCATCGGCCACCGTGCCCGGCCTGCTCTCATCCCTTCTATTCAACATTGTTGAGTTCGTGCCACTGCACTCCAGCCTGAGTGACGGAATGAGACTCCATCTCAAAAAATAAATAAGTAAATAAATTTAACAAAAGTATAAAACTTATATTTTGAAAGCAATGAAACACTACTGAAAGAAACTAAAGAAGGCCTAAGTAAACAGCCGAGTGTGGTGGCTGACGCCTGTAATCCCAGCAGTCTGAGAGGCCCAGGCGGGCGGATCACCTGAGGTCAGAAGTTTGAGACCAGCCTGGCCAACATGGAAAACCCTGTCTCTACTAATCCAAAAATTAGCCAGGCGTGGTGGCATGTGCCTGCAGTCCCAGCTACGTGGGAGGCTGAGGCAGAAGAATTGCTTGAACCCAGGAGGCGGCGACTGCAGTGAGCTGAGATCACATCACTGCACTCCAGCCTGGGTGACAGAGCCAGACCCTATCTCAAAAAAATCCTAATTAAATGAAGAGACACATTCTGTAATCGTGGATCAAAAGACCTCACACTGTCCAGATGTCAATACTACCCAGAGCAATCAGCACATTTAATGCCATCCCTAAGAAAATCCCAGTGGCAGGTTCTGCAGAAATACAAACACCAATCCTCAAATTCCTGTGGAATAGCAAGAAGCCCCACAGAGCTGAAACTATCTTGAAGAGGAAGAACGAAGTTGGAGAACTCACACTTCCTGATTTCAATACTTTCTAGAAAGCTACAGTAACAGCAGTGTGGTGCCAGCGTCAGGGCACACAGACCAGAGCAGACCAGGTCAGAGGGCCAGACATAAATCTCGCGTCCCCCACGTGAACCATCCTAACTCCAATTGCTTATCGTTTTTAGGTGTGGACGCTCCGCCGGCAGGCGGCTCTCACCAGCTTCTCCTTGTCTCTCTGCCACTTCCTCCACTGCTCCGCAGCCGCTGGGCTCTGCCTGGCCTCCGCGCTCCTCCTCGCAGCCTTGCGTCCTTCTTGCTCTTTCAACCGTGGGTGTGACTGCTCTAATTCTGCCTGCAACCACGCTGGTTTCTCCCTCTCTCTCTCCAGAGAGCATCTCAGCTCTCGTTTTTGGGTGTGCAGGGCTTCCACCGTCGACTTCAGTGTGGCACTTACCTCCTTCTCTCTCCTGAGCGCCTCACAGTGCTTCTGAGCCTCAGCCTCAAGCTGCTGCTGAGAATGCAGGGCTTGCTGCTGCACCTTTTCAAGCATCGCTTGCAAGTCCACCACCCGGGACTTCTCCTCCTTCAGCTTCTGCAGCAGAGCGTGATGGGCCTGTGTGTCCTGGTGCACGCAAGCCTCCTGTGTCCTCTGGCTCAGCTGCTCGGTCAGGAGCCGCTCGTGCCGCAAGGCCTCTGACAGCTCCAGGGTGCGGCTCTTCTCAGCCGCAAGGTCCTTCTGGAGCTCAGAGAGCTGGCTCCGCTCCTGAGCCAGCAAGGCCTCGCAGCGTGAGTGCTCGATACGCAGCTCCTTCTGCAGGTTGTCCTTGGCCGTCTGCTCGTGTTTCAGTGCCACGCAGAGTCGACTGCTCTGAGCACGCTGTGTCTCCAAAGACGCCCGCAGCTCCTAGACAGCAAACACATACGATGGGAGACACTGAATCAAGAGGAAAAGTGTCTACATGGTTTTCCTGTCCACATTTGTTTATATACTTTAGCCCAGCAATTCTACCTTTTGAAATGCACCCTATTAGCCACATGTAGGGACAACATTTTTTTGTTAGTTCATCAAGTAACAAAAAACCCAGACTGCGGAGATGACATACTTTTTTCGGAAATGGTGTTGAGTCCTGGGTTCAGAGATGTTCCCAGTCTGTCCCTCTCCAGAAAATGATTCAGAGATGTCCCCTGCCCGCCCCCTCTCCAGAAAATCACTCCACCAGAGGCTCCTGCCCCCTCTTCAGAAAATCACTCCACCAGAGGCTCCTGCCCCCTCTTCAGAAAATCACTCCACCAGAGGCTCAGAGATACACACCCAGCTTGCTAGGAACCACCACTTCCATGCTGTTGAAAGCCATAACCCATGGAACTGGCACAGACTTGCTCAGAAGCCACAGCAGGCCTGCTGGGCCTCCGCCATGCAAAGCAGAGGCCCCACCACCAGCCTGCCTTGTGCACAGACCTCTGAGGCTGTGCTCTGTCTGGATGCCAGCGAGGAGGCTGTGTCCATCTCCACAGCAAGTGCTCAGGGACGGGGGGGGGCTCCGAGCAGGGGTATCGTGCCACCACGGGTCATCGCACTCTTCGCCCTGTGGTGGCTGCCACTACACCAAGGTGCAATTTTACCTGCAAACACAGCCCTATCCTGCTACGTCACACTGCTGTCAACTGGGTGCACTGCCATGAAGAACAGGAAAAGAAGGATGAAAGAGGAGCATGGCTTCAGGCTTCCAGTGCACACAGCCCATGCCGGCTGCCTTGCCCTGACACCCTGTTACCTCCAGGGCCTTGGCACTCTGGCTCTCCCTCTGCAGGTGCCGCAGCTGCTCCTCCTCCAGCTGGCTCTGCAGGGCACGCCCCTTCCCCTGCTCACTCTCCAGCTCCTGAAGCGCGGCCTTCAGCTCGTTCTCCTTACTGCTCAGCATGGATCTGCGTGGAGACATCGCAGAACAATCTGACCACGTGGGCCAGAGTGTGTTCCCGGGGGCTGGGAGCTCCAGGAGGGGAGGCAGAGCCCTGCCAGGTCCCACACGTGTGCTTCACCCCCCACCACAGGATTATCAACCCAGGGACAGCAGGGCGCGGTGCCCCTGGGGCTGCCCAACTGCGGCCCACCAGAGGTTCTGTCTCCCTTCATCACCAAGAAAACATGGCACAACGGGGGGACTCCCGCCAGTGTCCCAGGAAGGGGGATCAGGCGCACCTCAGCTGGAGGACCTCCTGCTGCACCTCGCAGAGGGACCGGGACAGCTGTTCGCTCTTCTGCCTGCTCTCACAGAGGTCGGACTTCAAATCTCGCACTACAGTCTGCTCCGCCGCCAGGAGCTTCTGCACGCTGTTTGCCTTCTCTTGCTCTTCACTCAGCGTCTTCTGCAAGTCACCAGCAATGCACTTCTCCTGCTCTACTTTATAAGCCAGCAGTTCAACTGAGAAAGACAAAAGAACAGTAACAGGCCCCCATGAGCTCCTCGTGCTGCACAAGTGACACCAGGTTAGAGACAGACTCGTGGGGGCGTGAGGTGTATGTGCTTCGGGAAGAAAGGAGGTTCTGTGGACTAGAAGCTTTCACTGCGGGTGGAACCAGGATGCTCAATTCTGCCCTCTGGGCCCATTTCCTTCCAGGGCCCACCCACCTGGCCGGGAGACACAGAGTCCAGGAGTGATATAGCCCTGGGGCCATCCTAAAAATGCCACCTCACCCCCACTCACACCCTAAACTGCCTCCAACAGAGGGAACTCCAGGCCCAGGTGGCTTTACTGGAAAATTCTCCCAAAACTTAAGGAAGAAATAACCCCAATTCTAGACAACGGAGGGCGGAGGGGCTACTTCCCAAATACTTCCCGCACCCCGTGGGGCTGGCGCTACCCAGCACCAAGACCAAAAAGGCACAACAGAAAACAGACCAGTGCCCCTCACGAGCACTCAGACAGCACCGGCCCACCACCCCCATGCCCCTCACGAGCGATCGCACAGTGCCGGCCCCCCTGTGCCCCTCACGAGCACGTGCACAGCGCCAGCCCCCCCATGCCCCTCACGAGCGCTCGCACAGCGCCGGCACCCCCTGCCCGTGCCCCTCACGAGCACGTGCACAGCGCCAGCCCCCCCATGCCTCTCACGAGCGCTCGCACAGCGCCGGCACCCCCCGCCCATGCCCCTGACAAGCGCTTGCACAGCGCCAGCCCCACCCATGCCCCTCACGAGCATGTGCACAGCGCCGGCCCCCAGCCCCAGAGAGCACAAAGGGCATGGGCGCCGGGACAAGGGCCGTGGGCTGAACTGCAAGGCCGTTCCCCTTGACGGAATCCAAAACTAGGAACAGAGGGCACTTGCCCAAGCTGACCAAGGGCGCCTGACCCCACATGCGATGGTACGAGACCAGCTCCTGCCCCCAAAACTAAGAGCAGGGAATGGCATCTGCCCACACAGCTGACGGCACAGCACGTGAGAGAACACGGGCAAGAAACAAAAAATCGTTACTTACCCACAGATGACCTGAGCATCTACATAAAAACTCCCGAAGAAGCTAAATTAAATGTAGAAACCTACGAGACATTCCTGAACTCTAGCATGAGCTCCCAAGAATCTGCCAGCACTCAGAGCCCAACCCAGGCCCCTCTTGCCCACATCAGGCCCAAGAGTGAGGCCTCCGTGCCAGCCCCACCCAGCGCTGCCTGTCTCCAGGGTCCTTTCTGCTCAGTCCTATCAGCTGACAACCATGGCAACACTCAGGGGCTTGACTAGATGATGCCCTGTCACCACCCTCTGCTCCCAAGGCCACACAGGTGAGTGTCGGGCGGGCAGGTGCAGAGGCCGGGCCCCAGGCAGTGTAGACAGTGACACCCACCCTGCCTGCGCAGCTGGTGCTCCTGCTGGCTCCCGCGCGCCTCTGCGCTTGTCAGCGCCGTGCGCAAGTGCTGCAGCTTCTCCTGGTTCTGCAGGTGCGTCATGCGCAGCTGGGCACGCAGCGCCTGGATCTCGGACAGCAGGCTGCTCCGGTCCGGCAAGCGAAGATGCTCCAGGGACTTTTCCTGCAGGTCTCCCTGGGGGCACAATGGGACAAGCAGCCTGAGCATTGGGCAGCCACCCCATGCCCCGGCCTTCCCTGCTGCCCGCCCTCAAAACCAGCTCCGCCGGGACAAGCCTGCTGAGTCTGGGATGGGTGCACAGTATCTGCTGGGCCTCAGCTCTGGGGCCTGCAGGCGTCAGGGCTGGGCTGCACTACCCTGCGTGAGGCCTGCAAGCCAGTTACTCTCAACACTAGGTTTCCTCGTGTATGCTGGCAGGAACAGGATTTCCAGTGTCCCCACGGCACCAACGCCACCCAGCCCTGCACACAGAGCACCTCTCAACCTAGGAGGGGCTACTTGGAATGGAGAACGTTTCTTTAGCCACCTATCTCAGAAAAGAGTGAGGCCTGAGGGTGCATCTCGAGCACACCTGTCCTGTTACAGCTGCAGGTGGAAAAGTGCAGCATCCTGCATGGACTGAGCGTCAACACCTGGGTAAGTGACAGCCACATTCCAGCGGTCGAGAGAAACACACAAACCGAAATTCACACACAAAACAGTCTGTGTCACCCTCTCTGCCAGGGCTGGACCCCTGGGGCAAACTGAGGCCTGGTGGCAGAGCTGACACTCACCTGCTCACGGATGATCTTCTCCAGCCTTTCGAGCAGGGAGCTGTGACCCCCCAGATCTGAGCCACTGAGTCGGGGCTGCAGCTCAACCCCCTGCATCTCCTGCTCTTTTTCAAAGGCCTCTTGCACAACCTGCAGAAGGTCCCCTCTCCAATCGGGGCACGCGGTGGGCACTTCCTAAAGGAAGAAGGAAGAAACGTGGCGTCCTCACAAATGCACCTGCATCCTTGTGCCCTAAAGTTCGCAGTGTGACTGCGTTTGGAGATGGGGCCTGCGGGAGGTGATTCAGGGTAAATGAGGCCTCTTAAGAAGAGGAAGAGACACCAGAGCTCACTCGCTGTCTCCATCATATGAGGACACAGCACGGAGACGCTGTCCGCAAACCAGGAAGGGCGCCTACACCAGAATCCAACCCTGTGGGCACCCTGATGCCACAACAGGTGAAATCAATGTCTGCTGTTTAAGCCCCCTGGTCTGGGGTGTTCTGTTACGGCAGCTGAGCAGACTGACAGCCGTTCAAACAGAAATGACCCTGACAGAAGAGAAGACACACACTGCCCAGGGCCATTCAAGGCACGAGAAGCAAAGGCTGCCATCATGAGCACAGAAGAGACTGAAAAAGACGATAAAGTAAGGTCAGGAAAATGTCAGCAAAGCTCCTTCCCTCTTTTCCTGCTGCTGTGCCTTCAAGGCCCAGGGCCTGGAGGGGACCTAAGGCTGCAAGGGGCTACCCGCTGGTCCCCAGGGGCAGCGTGCAGCACCAATGAGCCTCCTGAATGCCAGCCAGGCTGCCGCTCGCACACAACCAGGGCCTGCTGGAGGGGCGAGCGGAGGCGGGTGGGGCTGACCCTCCCACCGGCTCTCCATGGCACCAGCACACCCTGTGCGTTCCAGGCACAGGGAGAAAGCCCTTCCCTCCCTCACAAAGCTTTGATCCCAGTCAGAGGCAGGCACAGGGGCAGGACAGGGTGGGCACGGAGATGGGAGGGAGCGTGATGGGAGTTGGCACCCACTCCACAACCTCCACAAGCCCTGGTGATGGAAGCAGACAGGCAGGGAGATGGGGAGGACTTGGGGAAAAGTGGGGTGCGGGGTCGACAGCACAGAGGTGAGGCCCTGAGGTCCAGTTGCTGGGGCTTGGGGTGTGGAGGGGGAGGTAGGAGAGACCCAAGGGGAGGAATGAGGCCGGAGGGCAAGTCACCCGAGTGGCAGGAGGAGAGGCCCTGGGGGACAAGTGCTGGAATGGGCCGAGTCCGCAGGGCCACATGGCCAGGAGGGACCACTCTCAGCCTCCCCGCAGGCTCACACAGGGCACAGGCCTGAAAGCCCTGAGCCCTTCTGCCCCCCACACACCTCCACGTCCCGCAGGGAACCTGCCCCGAGAGCCTGCGCTGGCTGTGGGAGATGGGAAGGCCTCCCCAGGGTTCTTGGACCTCAGTCTTTTTGGCCGTGCTAAAAAAAATCCTAGGCCAGGCACGGTGGCTCATGCCTGTAATCCCAGCACTTTGGGAGGCTGAGGCGGGTGGATCACAAGGTCTGGAGTTCAAGACCAGCCTAGCTAAGATGGTGAAAGCCCGTCTCTACTAAAAATACAAAAATTAGCTGGGCATGGTGGCATGCACCTGTAATCCCAGCTACTCGGGAGGCTGAGGCAGAGAACTGCTTGACCCGGGGTGGTGGAGGTTGCAGTGAGCCGAGTCTCAAAAAAAAAAAAAAAAAAAAAAAAAAAGAAAGAAATCCTAGTGTCCACGTGGCCCTAAGGACGCGGCCATTACCACAAGCTCCTTAAATCCTTTGGAAAAGAAGTGTGTGAAGGGCAAAATAAACCTGCGTCTTTCCCCCATGGAGCGAGATGTCCTGTATCTCGTCTTCCTTCCGGGGTGGGTGTGGCTCGCCGCTTGGGGGTGCAAGGCCTTCTGACAGCGCCAGGATCTGGTGGCTCTCGTCACGCACCATCTGCAGTAAAGCCTGTGGCGGGAAAGCGCGTCAGAAGGGAGTTGCCTGCCACCCCACACAGCCACGCTCTACACCACCTGCGGCCCCGAGCTGCCGCCAGGACTCTGTGAAGGGCGGGCAGCTGTGGAGAGGGAGGGCACCGCCTCGGCTTCGTACAGGCGGCACCCACTTCTCAAGCTACAAGGTTTTCAAGCCCACCTCTCCCGACCTTCAGAGAGACAACACGGAAGCCAGGCTTGGAGTGAATTTCTCTATAAGCCACTCCAAAGATGGCCCCGCCACTTCCTCCACTCCACCTGCTCCCTGAGGGGGACACCGTCCCCCGCCTAAGCCTGGACAAAGCTCAGGGCAGGGCTTTAGGCCAATGTCCACAGCGAGATCACAAACATATCACACACTCCCTGCCCACCTGGGACGCTACGAGAAGGCCACACGATGGCCACCCAGGAGGCCTCTGTGCGTGGTCCGGCTGAGGCCAGTGCCGACCACCAGCGTGGGGTGAAGCTGCCTGTGCTGGGCACGGGGAGCAGAGAAAACCATCCCCAGCAGGCCCTGCCCACAGGTCTGTGAACACGAGGCGGCTGCTTTATCCCACCGATTACGCAGCAGCTGGTGTCCGGACACACACTTGACTGTCTCGCCAGAGAGGCTGAGGGGTAAGCAGACGGCCCTATGGAGAAGCTGGTGTCACGACCAGCCTAGAGCCCAGAGCCCAGAGGCTCAGCGCGGTCACCACCACATGAGCACACACCCAAGCACAGGACACGTCTGCATAAAAACCTGAAGAGAAAAATAATCTAATAAAGTCCAAAAAGAGGGAAATGCAAAATGAGGCAATGATGAAGCCTACGACGGGTGTGACTGACTGAAAATAGGCTTTCCTGTAATTTTAACGATATGCCAAAAAAGGTCAAATATTAACACTAAAGTGTGAAACCAAATTGCACACTATGTTCATCTCTAACAACTGAAAACACTTTTACTTTAAACATAACGTATGTGGCACAGGATGGATGCAAACTGAGGTCTGCGGCAGAGCAGGGTGGGGTTGAGGGGAGCGGGGTGGTGCGGGGAGGAGCGGAGACGGGGGGAGCAAGGCCGTGGCTGGGGGAGCAGGGTTGGGGGGGGCGCAGTGGGAGCAGGGCCGGGGGAGCAGGGCGGCGGGCAGGCCCTGAAGCTGCTTGGCCCCTCTCTTCCAGCTGCAGAGGACAGGCCATTTCCTTCTTTTTAATATGCTTTTCTAGATTCTGTATAGAGGAGAAAATGCATTTTAAAAAACATCTCTTACAAAGAAGAGATGCAGAGGCCCTGGGCCACAGCTTCCCGCCAGGTGACACGGGGCCCTTGCAGGTGGGTTCCCGTGAGGCCGGGAAGTGGGGCAGAGACCAGTGGGTACCTTAGAACATGGCCTGTGAGGCAGCCTGGGGGGTCCCACAGACACAATCACTAGGGCTGAGAAGGTTCTGCCATCTCCACACTCAGGACCAGGCGGCTCTGCCTGTCAGCAGTGGTGGTGGTGGCAGCGGCGGAGGCAGGGGAGTCCTCATTTCCTGAGCTCCAGCACCTACCCTGCCCACTTATGGCTCAATTCCAGGCACGGCCAGAGGTGGCCAAGAGTGGCCGGGGCCCCACCCGTGCTCAGGACCTCTCAGCCTCCTCAGCATAGGGACCACAGGGGCTATTAGAGCGTCGACCACACTCTTGGCGTCTGTGGCTGCATCTGAGCAGTGGGTGTCCCCCACGCGCCTGGAGCCACCTCCAAGTGGGGCAAGCACCCAGCTCCACTCAGTTCCCCACTGCGGCGTCAGTGTGGGCACAACCCCAGGGCTCCACACTCTAAAACACAGGCCAGAAATTAAGACAATAAAGGAAAACCCTGAGTTTGAAACAGTCTGAGACATCCATGAAAAAAACTCCTTGTGATTTTCAACTGGACTTGGGACCTTTCAAAGCTGGAGGTGCTCCCTGGACAGCAGTTCCTCCTCTTCCTCCTCCTCCCCTCTCCCCTCCCCCTCCCCCTCCTCCCCTCCCACTCCCCCTTCTCTTCCTCCTCCCCTCCCCCTCCTCATCCCCCTCCCTTCTCTTCCTCCTCCTCCCCTCTTCCCCTCCCCCTCCCCTTCTCTTCCTCCTCCTCTCCCCCTCCTCCTCTGCTTCGCAGCTGCTGCCTCAAGGGCTACAGGAGGCCTTTCCTGCCTTTTGTGCTTTTCTTTTTAAATTATGAAACCTAAGTATGAAGAGTTAACATTAATCAAATTTATTCCTTAAAAATCAGGAATTCTAATATTAGGTTGTTTTCCATAGGAAACACTAACAGAAACATCTCCTTGACGTTTTATATTGTATAAAAATTTGAGGCCAGGCGCTGTGGCTCACACTGTAATCCCAGCACCTTGGGAGGCTGAGGTGGGCAGATTACTTGAGCTCAGGAGCTCAAGACCAGCCTGGGTAACATGGCAACACTCCATCTTTACAGAAAATACAAAAATTAGCTGGGTGTGGTGGCTCACGCCTGTAATCCAAGCTGCTTGGGAGGCTGAGGTGGGAGGATCGTTTGAGCCCAGGAGGCAGAGGTTGCAGTGAGCTGTGACTGCACTGCTGGGTGACAGAGTGAGACTCTGTCTCACCAAAAAAAAAAAAAGGAAATGCAAAGAAGATATAAAAAACTGATTAAAAAAAAAATCTCCAATTTCCATGTTTAAGAAAGTAAAATAAGTTTTTTTATTTTAATGAAAAAAAGAGGTTTAACTGACTCAGTTCTGACAGAGAGGGGTCTTACTATGTTGCCCAGGCTGGTCTTGAACTCCTGGGCTCCAACGATCCTCCTGTCTCAGCCTCCCGAAGTGCTGGGATCATAGGCATGAGCCACCGTGCCCAGCCAAATAAAGTAAAACAAGTTTTATTCTGAATGCAGTAAGTCCTCACTTAACGTCATGGATGGGTTTTGGAAACCGCGACTTTTAAACGCATGTAACAAAGGCACCCTCAGGGCCCTCTGAGACAACGGGAGCTGCGGCCAGCAGCACAGGAGTGTCCTTCCTACAAGGTCAGTTTCCAGGAACCTCGGGGCAACGCTAAGTGAGGACTTACTGCGCAGTCTCAGAAGAGGTTTCACTGATGTGAAGACTGTTTTGTTTGGGAATATGTTTACCACTTGACTAAGCTCCTGTAGTGGCATCATTCTATCACTCACTTGTTTAGCCAAGTTTTTGTCAATGGTTTTGCCATAAAATGATCTGCTAAACTGGGAGAGGAAAGAAAACCTATGAAAAGTTCCACAAAATTCTGCCTTCAAGGTTGATTCCAAGGAGGCTGAGTGGCTTCTCTCCCATCGTCTGAAGAGAACTCGGCTCAGTCCTAGAGCACTGCGGCGTCTGGTGCCTCGGCTTCTCTACAGGGCACAGGCAGGAGGGAGGCACAGGCGGGAGAGAGGCACAGGCCGGCTCTGCGACTCGGGGCAACACCACCTGCCCACGGGCTCACAGGACCCTCCCTGCCCAGATGGGAGGCGGCCACCTAAGGGGCCAGTGCAGGGCTGGGTGGGCGGCTTCCGGGGCCACCGTGGGGCTGCCTCCCGTGAGTCATTAAAATGCAGGTGCTCAGAGGCACCCAGGAAAAGCTGGCCCTCCAAGGCTCTCCCCGGCAAGGCAGGACACAGGGCTTGGGGGATGCCCCGAGGCTGCACATGTGAAGCTGTGAGGGCCGCCCCTGCCAGCCATACCTTCACGTGCTTCGGACGCACTTCCTTCTCCTTCATGGCTTCCGGCAGCGGCTGAAACCTTCCAGAGATGGAAGCAGGGGTCACAGGACCAGCAGTTTGAGCCTCAGGGCCTCCTGACCCCGGGCTCAGTCTTGCTCCAAAACCCGAGCCGTCACCTAAAAACACCACAGGGTCAGGGTCCCACCCACAGCTCTCCAGGGGGTTCCCCAGGGGACGCACTGCAGAGGCAGGACAGGGGTGATCGGCCCGCAGTCCCCAGCGACAACCACACCGTGATTCTGCTCACGGAGAAAACACTGATGGCCCCAAAAATGCTTCATAAAAACATAACCCTGGTGAGAAAGACGCACGTCAAGTAAGAAAACGCAACTTCACAGGTTGAGAACATCACCTGAGTCCCTGATTCCAGCGCCAATCTTAGGGGACCTCTGCTCACTTCTCCAGACGTGGCCCCCAAAGACTCCACAAAACCCAGATGGCCTGGGCAAGCTCAAGAGCAGCGGGACGTGCGGGGCCTGCACCCTCCACGCCAGCCACGGAGATAAGGCAGGCAGCGGACGGGCATCCAATGACTGCTCAGGAAACGCTGACCGTGCCTGCCATGGGGTCCCTGCGGTGCAGCTCCTGTGTCAGGTGGGCATGGGGTCTCAAGGAGGAAAATTCAAAACCTCCCAGGGCCCTGGTCCATCCCAGAGACCTGCAGCTGCGCCAGCCCACAGGGAGGGGGGCGCTTTGGAAACTGAGGCAGGATCGTGTAAGGGACACGAGACCCAGACGAGGAGGAGGCGCCCTGGAAAAAGGGTGTTAGACTTCAAAACAGGAGGATGAGGATGCCAGCGAGACGGGGCCCCCGTGTGGACAAAGCTCCCTGGGGAGCGGAGGCTGCAGCACTTGGGCACCTGGGGGATGATGCCCCGGCACAGCCTGCTGAGCAGAGGGCACACTGGGGAGGAGTAGAGGCCAACGATGCAGGCAGAGTACAACCTCAGAGGATGACGATGACCCCCTCAGAGAAATAACGGGCACGTCATTCACAAAATGAACCAACAAAGTGCTTTTTGTGAGTGGCGGCAAGTGCCGAGAGAGCAGCATGAAGGCCTCAGGAGCAGTGCAAGGGTGCAGGGTGCTGGGTTGCTGCCTGTACCCCTCAAAATGCCTCAGGCCACCCACCGCCTGCAAATCTTTGTGTCTAATAATGGTGCCAAGTCCTACTTCTGCCCTGTGTATCTCAGCTAAAGATGACAACGAAGAAATCTTTGGGGAAATCATCTACTTCAGGTGTTTGAGAAATCTCTGAGGGTGAAGGATGTTGCATCTGCCTGAGCTGCGGCTCCCACAGCGTGTACCAGGAACTCTGGGATGTGACTGCTGCGGACACTGTCACCCAGTGCCACCGAGACATGGGTGCCCAGCACCATGCCCCAGCCCACTCCATCCAGAGGAGATCACAGCCAGCAGGTGCCGCCAGCGGGTGGTCAGAGCTCCACAAGTCCAAGACCACATTCCCCATTGTCCCACTGGACCCTGTGCCTTCAGCACAAACCATGCTTCACCTCGGAGCCCAACACCTTCCTTCAGGTGCAGGGACCTCTCACCTGGCTGTGCCCAAAATAAACTCAAGAACGCCCTCCAAAAAAGAAAGAAACCAAGGAGCTAAAGCTAAAGGAGAGAGGAACAGTTAGGATAAGAAAGATTTCTGAGAAATTTAAAATATGAGCACAGAAACAGAACACTCAGCACAAATGTTGAAAAATAAAGTTCTAAAGAAAACCTCTTAGAAATGAGAACAAAAATAAAAGAAGTAGAAATAAGGAAAGAAAATTTGACAATCAATCTTGGAGGCCTGATATAGTTGAATAACAGGAATTACAAAAAGAAGAGAGAAAATCATAGGATACGTGAATGGAGGAAGGACGAACGAGGAGGAAATCCTCCACCCCGACCGCGCAGGCCTCCAAGGTCGCGTGTCACTGGAGGGCGCAGGCACAGAGGCGGCGGACACCCTGACCGCGCAGGCCCCTCAAAGGTTGTGCGTCACTGGAGGGCGCGGGCACAGAGGCAGTGGACAGGCACGCGATACCTTCCAACCCAAGTGTCTGCACCCAGCCAACCAACCGACAACCACCAGGGAGACGAGGAAGTTCTCAAAAACAAGCACCTACCAGACACCTTTTCTACAGAGGCTTCTGGGGACATGTTTCCTTAAAAAAGAGGGGGCTGGCCAGGCGCAGTGGCTCATGCCTGTAATCCCAGCACTTTGGGAGGCTAAGGTGGGAGGATGACTTGAGTACGGGAGGTGGAGGCTGCAGTGAGTCGAGACTACGCCACTGCACTCCAGCCTGCGTGAGAGAGCAAGACCCTGTCTCGGTAAATAAGAGACCGTTGAGGAGGGGCAAGGGGCCGCCTGGGAGCCCCTGAGAGTTGTTGGGGAAGCACCTGCTGTGCTTGGAAGGCTTGGATGACATTCACCTGGACACTGTGTGCGAGGACAGCAGTGAAGCACACAGGAGAAACTGAGCCAAGAAAAACAAAAGTGGCTCGAGGGGGACGCACGCTCCCAGCGGCTCTGCTGGAACACGGGGCGCGTCCTTTAAGGGCAAACCTTGGCTGTGACAGCACAGGGCGTGCAGACTGCACCTCGTGTAGCAAGGGGCGTGTGGCGAGGGGCTAGGAGGGCTGAAGATGCCACTTTAAACAGCAAATAGAGTTTGAAAATAAAGCAAATACGAGAAGACATTTCTGAGAGTTGAATGTGGCATCCCCAGGGAGCTGCAGTCCTGAGTGGGGAGCTGGGACACAGGCTGCTCAGGAAACGGTCCCCTCAGCACCCATAACTGTCACCCTGCGTGCTCACTATTCATCAAATAAATAAAAACAAAATTAAAAAGCTGCTGGCCCTACTCTGCAAATACTAAAATTTCTAATTAAATTGTGACCATGTTCTCAAAAAACACTAAATCGCTGAAAAATCCAACAGATTTTTTAAAAAGTTAGAGCACCTCAAAAGGTGACTGACTTGTAAAAAGACAACAATTATAGAAAAAGTTATGAAATGAAAAAAAGGACGGTGTGGCAGGTAACCGCCACAACAACTGATGCGGGCCAGGGCAACCAAGGGAGGCTGAGACCAGTGGGCGTGAGCATGAGAGGGAAGAGAATACTCAGTCTCCGCATCTCCCACAGAAGGAGGTGGAGGAAACCTGGCAGGCACCATCACAGACAAAGGCCCAAGTCAAGCCCACGCACCTCCCGCCACGAGGTCCGGGGAGACGCAGCCCCCCACGCACCATCGCGAGGACACGCCACAGTCAGCGGCCCCTCGGCTCCTCTCCAGGGCCGGTGCCCCGAAACCCACAGCAGAGAGAGGGACGTCCACCCCAAGGGGAGGGAAAGGCAGGGTGGGCAGGCAAGGCAGCAGAGCCTGGAAACATGGCGTGCACCGCCCCAGTCTCCATCCTGCCAAAGACACCTGAACACAGCCTGTGAGCTGGGGTGTCTTTTCCATAAAGGACACTACTGGGACAATGGGTGAATCTGAGCAAGGTCTGTAGCTGTAGCTGAGATGCCAGCCTTGGATCAGGGTGAACATTCCAGGGTGGAGCGTGGCCCGGGCCAGCAACCTTGGCTCTGTGAAAGGTACAGGCGTGTTTTCAGAAGTCAAGAGGCCCCAGGTGCACGCCCGACAAAGCGCAGAGCCGGGGTGGAGGTCAGCGGGGGGCAGACGCAGAACCAGGCAAAGGATGCAGGAATTCTTTTGACTATTCTGTGCTAGGAAACCACTGAAATAAAAAATTAAAAATGAAAGATAACCAACTCACTTTTCTCACTTCTATCAGCTTTTCCTTCTAATCCAGGAGGAGGTGAACTTAATGTTTCTTGAGAATCAAAGGATGTTGTGATAAAATCTTCGACATCTTTCTCCTGTTAAGAGATTTTTAAATGGTCATAAAATAATGAGTAATTACATCATAGCGCTGACTTTGCCAGGTGAAAACTTTCAAAGGCCTGAATTTATCTTCCCACATAGACCCCAGATGAAACAACTCAAAACTGGTGAACACACAGGTCGAATGCTTCCAACAATTTAATCAGATTCACCCACAGCTCTTTAGGAATATTTTAATGTAGCCAATAGTAAATATTTCAGATTTAAATTGTTTTGCATGAAATGATAGTATATGGATGTTTCAGATAATATGTATCTGCTAAATTATTATTTTTTGAGGGAGGGTCTCACTCTGTCACCCAGGCTGGAGTGCAGTGGTTCAATCTTGGCTCACTGCATCCTCAACCTCCCAAGGTCAAGTGATCCTCCTGCCTCAGCCTCCTGAAGAGCAGGGACCATGGGCGGCACCAGCACGCCCAGCTAATTTTTTGTGTTTTTTTTGTAGAGACAGGGTCTCACCGTGTTACCCAGCCTGGTCTCAAATTCCTGGGCTCAAGCAATCCTCCCGCCTCAGCCTCCCAAAGTGCTGAGACTACAAGCATGAGCCCAACCATACCTGATTTTTAATTTTATCTTACTCAAGATACACAAAATCCCAAAATGATTATGTTAGAAATAATACGATCTAACTCATAAATTAAAATTAATTAGCATATGTGAAACCTGTTAAAAATATGAAGCATTTCTGGCTGAGCATGGTGGCTCACGCCTGTAAGCCCAGCACTTTGGGAGGCTGAGGTGGGTGGATCATGAGGTCAGGAGTTCGAGACCAGCCTGACCAATAAGGTAAAACCCCGTCTCTACTAAACTACAAAAATTAGCCGGGTGTGGTGGCGTGTGCCTGTAGTCCCAGCTACTAGGGAGGCTGAGGCAGGAGATTTGCTTGAACCTGGGGAGGCGGAGGCTGCAGTGAGCCGAGATTGCGTCACTGCACTCTAGCCTGGGTGACAGAGCGAGACTCCATCTCACAAAAAAAAAAAAAAAAAAAAAAAAAGGAAGCATTCCTAAAAATAAATCTAAAAAACCATTCTGGACAAAGAACCCTATGCCCATCACACACGAAGACGTGTCTGGGCTATGCCCGTTGGAGTCAGCGTCAGTGGAGAAGCATGCCCAGGGTATGTCTGAGGCAGGCAAATGCATCTCAGGCATTTTAAAAATACCTGAACAACTGAAATAATCTAAATGCGCCCATGATGCCAGTCCTGCAGAGCTGGCCCCACACAGCACTGCGAGGTGTGTGCTGTCAGGAGGTGAACAAACAATGGCAGCTGCCGTGGCGCCGGGCAGACCACATTCCCACGGGAACAGCAGGCCTGGGAGCAGAGCAGGCACCTACCACAGCCGTCCTCTGCACATGGTGGTCGTCAGCCGGCGGAGACTCGGCCCACTGCAGTGCCAGCGCTGCTGCAGACACGCCTGGGGAACAAAGCAGCCCCGGCCCCTGGGTCTGTGGCAGCGAGGTGTCCGCCCTGTCCCCCAGGGATGTGTCGGCACTGCACAGGCTCAGGGCTCCTGAGTGGGGTGTCACGGGGAGGCTGGGCCAGGGCTCCAGGGTCCAGTCCTTCCTGAGGACCTCAGGGGAGCTCCAGGAAGACAGGTCCAGCATCCCGACCGGGCTCTTCCGGGGCCCAGCCTCTGCAGTGTGGCTCTGGTGGCGGGAGCCACCAAGTACGCTGGTCGGTGAAGAAAGAGACATGTCCTGACATTCTGATTTTTCTTGAATGGGAGAATCTGGCATTTCATCTGGTATCAAGGAATCCCAATTTTTGATAACATCAGTTACACCCCCTGGGGTTGTATTGGCATCACACGCGTCTATGGCCTGATTTTTGATAACATCAGTTACACCCCCCGTGGCTGTATTGGCATCACATGTGTCTATGTGGGGTGATATGTCAGGCTCTTCTCCGTCACAGGAATCATCACTCCAGCTGCTCTCCAACAGGTGTGCTGAGGCCATGGGCCACAGAGATTTGGTGTCGGCAGCATCCACATTCTGGAAGGTCATGGAATACAGCAAACGGTTCAGTTTTTCCTGAAGCTGTTTCACCTGAGCTACGAGATCGACCTTCGGCAGCTGACAATCTTCCAGTACTTTTTCTTTACCCTGCAGGTGAAACAGAACAGGTGCACGGTGGAATACCTGGCTCACCAGGAGTCGCACCTGTCTGGTGTTAATGAGTGGATTTCAGGGAGTTTCGGAGCACTCGGGTGATTCCACAATGAGCCCTGCACATTTCAAGTTTATTTAATTCTATGAGAAACAGAACCAAGGCTTACATCTCCTTGCTTAAAAGGCAACTGTCATAACCTATTTCTGCGGTGATTGAGGACACAAGCTTCATACAAGGGAAAAAGGATGGGAAGGTTCTATATCTGAGCACCGAAAACACAAAATTGTGGTTTATGTGATGAATTTGGAGTTTCTGTGTGTGTAACTTCTAAGAATTTGGCAGGCAGGGCTGAGCTTTCTCTTAAGAATTCAAAAAATTGGGCCGGGTGCAGTGGCTCACGCCTGTAATCCTAGCATTTTGGGAGGCTGAGACAGGTGGATCACGAGGTCAGGAGTTCGAGACCACCCTGGCCAAAATGGTGAAACCCTGTCTCTACTAAAAATACAAAAATTAGCCAGGCATGGTGGCGGGTGCCTGTAATCCTAGCTACTCGGGAGGCTGAGGCAGTGAATTGCTTGAACCCAGGAGGTGGAGGTTGCAGTGAGCCAAGATCTCAAGATCTCGCCACTGCACTCCAGCCTGGGCGACAGAGCGAGACTCTGTCTCAAAAAAAAAAAAAAAAAAAAAAAAAAAAAATTCAAAGAAACGTTCCTGTCATGAGGGCCCCAAGACTGTTTGCCGCAGGAGATGCGAAGGGCTCTCCACACAGGATGTATTTCCCGAGAGCACATGACAAGCACACGAACCAGGTTCATGGGTCTCCTCAGAACTGCGGGCCTAGGCCCATCCTTCCCTGATTTCTGTGGAATTAAGAATCTTTCAGGCTCTAAACGCCAATGAGGTGCACGCAGTGTGGACCCAGGAACAGGCGGCACCTGCACTCATGCAAGAAACGTCCCAGCGACGTGCGGGACACTCACGAGGGCTGCGAGGGGCTCGGGTGAGCCCAGGTCTCAGCAGGCTTCAGCACCAAGCATGCTTCCGTGCCACCCTAGAGACCATAAAACACCTGCCCAGCACTTCTGGTGTTAGAGCCTCTGGGTTTCAGAGCCTGGAGGAGTAGTTGGGGCACATTTAGCAAACAGCAGGGAGGAGGGGGAGGAGGAAGAGCAGGGTGGGTGGCTGTGTGTCCAGCAGGAGGAGGGTAGGTGTCTGTGTGTCCAGGAGGAGGAGGAGCAGGGTGGGCGGCTGCATGTCCAGGAGGAGGAGAGTGGGCGGCTGTGTGTCCAGGAGGAGGGTGGGCGGCTGCGTGTCCAGGAGGAGGAGGGTGGGCAGCTGTGTGTCCAGGAGGAGGAGTGTGGGCAGCTGTGTGTCCAGGAGGAGGAGGAGGAGCAGGGTGGGTGGCTGCATGTCCAGGAGGAGGAGAGTGGGCGGCTGTGTGTCCAGGAGGAGGAGGAGGAGCAGGGTGGGCGGCTGCGTGTCCAGGAGGAGGAGGGTGGGCGGCTGCATGTCCAGGAGGAGGAGGAGGAGGAGCAGGGTGGGTGGTTGTGTGTCGAGAAGGAGGAGGAAGAGGAGAGTGGGCGGCTGTGTGTCCAGGAGGAGGAGGGTGGGCGACTGTGTCCAGGAGGAGGAGGAGGAGGAGGGTGGACAGATGTGTGTCCCAGAGGAGAAGGAGGAGAAGGGTGGGTGGCTGTGTGTCCAGGGAGGCTGCGCTGGGCCTTGGACTGGAGGAGGCGAGGTGCAGACAGTGCATCAAAAGGTGCCATCTAAGGCTGGGCGTGGTGGCTCACGCCTGTAATCCCAGCACTTCGGGAGGCTGAGGAGGGTGGATCACCTAAGGTCAAGAGTTCAAGACCAGCCTGGCCAACATGGTGAAACCCCGTCTCTACTAAAAATACAAAAATCAGCTGGGTGTGGTGGCGCATGCCTGCAGTCCCAGCTACTCGGGAGGCTGAGGCTGCAGAATCACTTGAACTCGGGAGGCAGAGGTTGCAGTGAGCTGAGATCGTGCCACTGCACTCCAGCCTGGGCGACAGAGCAAGACTCTGTCTCAAAAAAAAAAAAAAAGAGAGAAAAAAAATAAAGGTGCCATCTGCACCTGATGCGGCCTGAGGAGAGGGCAGCTCCTGCGCAGGTGTTTCCTAGGGGCACTGGGGACCTGCCCCTGGTGCACTGGGTGGGAGAAGCACCAGCACCCGCTTTTCTCGCTAAATCTCCACCCTGCTACAATTTGAGATGGTCAAGGTGCAACCTCCTTCCCCGGGGAAAAGAAGTGCCAGCTTTTTTTCAAGTGACAATATGGAGTGAGGTGAACAGATTACAAGAATAAATCTGAGGCCTTTCAAAGTAAAACAGACGCTGGCCATCAAAGTCCTGAGCTGAGGTGAGGCCCACGGGGGCGATGTGGTCCTCCCATGAAAAGACAAACCAGGACTAACCCTCGAGCACAGTTAAATCCATTTGGATCAATTACAAGAAAAAAACCCAACTGATTGTTTCTACAGAGTGGCTTAAATGAAGCACGTACGAAATTTCACAACAGTTATGGACAGCTCGTTACAGAACAGAAAGGATTCAGAGAACATGTCACTGCAGGCACGGACTGTGCTCCTCACCTCAGCAGAATACCCGCCTCTGCCCAGGGCAAGACCCACATGTTCTGCACCCAGCCTCTCCCAGGGGGGCCTCACGCCTTCCCCCCTCCCCACACCTTGCTGCCGCGTGTCCAGCCTCTCCCGGGTGGGCCTCGTGCCTTCCCCGTTCCCCACACCTTGCTGCCGCGTGTCCAGCCTCTCCCAGGGGGGCCTCACGCCTTCCCCCTCCCCACACCTTGCTGCTGCGTGTCCAGCCTCTCCCGGGTGGGCCTCGTGCCTTCCCCGCTCCCCACACCTTGCTGCCGCGTGTCCAGCCTCTCCCGGGTGGGCCTCGTGCCTTCCCCGCTCCCCACACCTTGCTGCCGCGTGTCCAGCCTCTCCCGGGTGGGCCTCGTGCCTTCCCCGCTCCCCACACCTTGCTGCCGCGTGTCCAGCCTCTCCCGGGGGGACCTCGCGCCTTCCCCCCTCCCCACACCTTGCCGCCGTCCTCCAGACTCAGGCGCATTTCATTTTTCACCAAGAGCAGCTCCGACTGCAGCTGCCTCTGGCAGACGGTGAGCACTGACATCACGCCTTCTTGCTTGCAGAGAGGTGCATCCTTCAACGTCACCAGGACAGGCTGCAGATCACCCTTGACAGAGGAGACAGAGGAAAGCTGAGCATGCAGGAGGCTGTTGCTGGGGCTGCCCCTCAGGTGGCCTGGAGCTGGGAACCAGTACGGCAGCCAGCAGGGATGCCAGAGGGAGGTGGCAGTGACATCCACAGCCGAGCACCTTGGTCCACAGCAGGCCACATGGGAACGGGGCTGAGGACCCAGCAGAAAGCTGCCCCGACCCAGGACGACCCCACAGAGCAAGGTGGACTGGGGCATCTGAGAGTGGGAGCCACTCTACAAAGACCCAGCTGGTGTGGGGGTGGTAGGCACCAAGTTCCCAAGGTTCTGCTCAAATACAAGTGGAAGCCTTAAAAGACGACTCCCTACAGGGCCTCCAGCTCCAAAAGAAGAGCTCGCTCGCCACATCTCACACAGGCACTGCTCATCGACAGACAAACCATTTGGTTAGAAACCAGAGAAGCAGCTTAAGCGGACCCTCCTCACATAGTGAGCTCCGTTTCACTGGACAGTCCCTATTATGTGAAAGAAAGAATTGTTTTTAAAAGCTTAAAACGATAAGCTTAAAATGGTACAAAACAGTGAAATCCTCAGCCCAGCTTCACTGCGTACTGACACGGAACAGGCCCAGGCTGGCCCGAGCTTCAGGCCCCCTTTCTCCGCTGTGTCATGAGCCACCATGACAACTGCAGCCCCCAGTGCCCAGCGCAGAGAGAAGTCATTGACATCAAAGGAGAAAAGGAGAGTAAAAAAAAATACCCTGCCATGGCCCGCGGGGGGAGCCCACCTGTGGGTCAGGGACAACCGGCTCCAAAGCAGCATCATGGGAGGCCTCCACGTCGCCGGTGACCTGGGCCTTGGCGCCACCATCCATGCGAGGCTGTGGGTGGGCCCCGGGCACCCGTGTGTGAGCTGTGGCTCTGCGGGCCTGCCGCCTGTCCAGCTCCACCTGGCACCTCAGGAACCGCTGGTGCAGCACCTGCAGCTGGCGGCTGAGGCGGGCACACTGCGCTCGGAGCCACTGCAGCTCGGGAGGCGCCGCCCCGGCTGCCAGGGGCTGCTGCTCCAGGGCGCGGCGGATGCGGGCCAAGGCCAACAGGACGGCCTCCAGCTCGGCAGAGTGGGCCGCCTTCCGCTGGTTCAGAGCGTCGATTTCTAAATTTCTCTCGGCAATCGTCGCTTCCTTTGCTTTCAGGGCCGCTTCGAACTCCTGGATCCGGGAGGCCATGTCTTCGACCTCAGCCTCCCTGAGGGCTACATTGCGCTCCAGCTCAGCCAGCTGTAGCTCCGCAGCCTCCTCTGCGCCCTGGAGGCGCTGCTGCAGGGCCTCCAGGGCCTGGCTGTGCCTGCGCTCCTGGTCAGCCAGCAGCCGGCTCAGGGCCTCCTTGGCTTCCAGCGCAGCCTCGAGCTCGCCCTGTAGGGCCTGCCCACGAGGGCCCCCGGCCTGGGAGCAGAGCAGCTCGCTCTGCAGACTGCCAGCCTGACTGTCGCTGACTTCGTGCACCACAGGCCCCATGAGGGACAGCTCGTGCTGCAGCTTCTCAATGACTTCATGGAGTTGTTCAATTTCCTCTGCTTTCTCCTTTTGTAATCGTTTCTGATTCTCTTGCAGATTTTCAATAGTGGCTTTCAGCTCTTCAATCTCAGAACTTCTGGTATATATGACCTGAAGAGAGAGGACATTTCAGAGGCAAATTAAATGTATCCACTTCCGAATGTCCCTACTTCAGGGCACGTTACATCCTGAATGCATTCTTGGAGTGAAGACTCCATAGCGTGAAAAACAAAGCAGCCATAGAAGCAAACTGCTGGTGCCGGATGCACTCCACACCCACCTTGGCTGCCACTGGGCCCTGGTGCACACCTTGTGCTCCACGTCTGATCGTGGGACGAAGCTCTAATGCAGTCATTTTCCATGCAAGGACATCTACAGAATGATGCTTTCACCACCCTTTAAATGTTATTTTGTTAATATTTAAACAACTTTGATTTGTTTGATTTTCCTGAAGGTGCATTAGATTTTAGGTGTCATTCTGACTCCAGGAGGAAAGTAAGAAACCTAGGCAGAGAATCTGCACCAACAAAGCGGTGAGCCGGGCACGCTCCCCTTCCATCCCAACACTGCTCGTGGTGACGCTGGTGATGAGGCGTCTCTGCCACTGCCACTCGGTGACACCAGGCATCGAAGTGAGTTTACTTGTGCCATGAAACATAATCCTCAGCCATGTAAGGAAATACGATTGTTTCCACTTTAAAGACAGGAAAATTGAAACTGAGATATTAAACATCTTTCTAAACCCATAAAAACAGTAAGTGGAAAATTAGGATTGAGATGTATGTCAATATAGCTCCAAACTCTATTCTCTTAAGATAACATTCCTGGTAATGACAAAAAATAGAAAAATTCTAATCCATTTGTGCTCTAACAATTTTAAAACTATTTGTTATAGACTAATATGTTCTTCCAAAAAACTGAGGGTTTCATAACAACTCCAGGTTTCTCTGGAACTACCTCACAATTACTCTGGACTCAAATGCAAATCTGGCCTACAGAAAAAAAACAAAGGAACCGGATGAACCTGTGGCTTTGGTTTGGACGCTGTCAACAACACCTTCCTATGCATTTACCACCGATGAACAACACCATGCATTTAGCAAAAGCAGCCTCCCAGCTGCGGGCTAGGAATGCCCGCTGCACATTCTGCTCCCCGTCGCGTGCCTTACTGTGTGCGGCACCGGCCGTTGTCTCTGTACTCTACAGGCACGCGAAGGAATTTCGAGGACAATTCTGATTATACGCAGCTTCTGCTCATTCCCTAAATGCACTAAATAAACTGGAATCAAGGGGTGCGCACTGAAGACGGTCATAATCACAACGCATATATCACGTTAAAATACTGGAGCCAGCATACGAAGGTAGCTCTAAATGTAAAACACCAAAACCTGAAATCAGTGAACTGAGGCCGGGCGCGGTGGCTCACGTCTGTAACCCCAGCACTTTGGGAGGCTGAGGCAGGCAGATCACTTGAGCACAGGAGTTCAAGATCAGCCTGGCCGACACGGTGCACCCTGGTCTCTAGTAAAAATACAAAAATTAGCCGGGCGTGGGCACCTGTAGTTCCACCTACTCAGGAGGCTGAGGTGGGAGAATCACTTAAACTCTGGAGGCAGAGGTTGCGGTAAGCCGAGACTGCGCCACTGCACCGCAGCCTGGGCGACAGAGCAAGATAGTGTCAAAAAAGAAAAATAAAAAGCAAAAAGCGTATGCAAGCATATTCAAGGAGACCTGAATGCAAAGTAAAACTATGAAATTTCTCAGGAAAATTGGGCTAGGGAAAGAGCTCTCAGAACTTCAAAAGTATAATCTGGCGGGGCACAGTGGCTCACGCCTGTAATCCCAACACTTTGGGAGGCCAAGGCAGGCGGATCTTCTGAGTTAGGCGTTCGAGACCAGCCTGACCAACATGGAGAAACCCCGTCTCTACTAAAAATACAAAAATTAGCTGGGCATAGTGGCAGGTGCCTGTAATCCCAGCTACTCAGGAGGCTGAGACAGGAGGACTGCTTGAGCCTGGGAGGCGGAGGTTGCAGCAAGCCAAAAATGCGCTACTGAACTCTAGCCTGGGCAACAGAGAGAGACTCTGTCAAAAAAAAAAAAAAAAAAGTAAAAAGTTTTGCTCTGCAAAACATACTGTTAAGAGAATGAAAAGACCAGCCATACATTGGGAGAAAATACCTGCAAATCATGTATCAAAAAAAAGCGTTCAAAAGATATAAAGAATTCCCAAAACAATAAGAAACCGAACAATCCAACTTTTTAAAACTTTCTGAGGTGGGGCACGGTGGCTCATGCCTGTAATCCCAGTACTTTGGGAAGCCGAGGCAGGTGGGTCACCAGAGGTCAAGAGTTCGAGACCAGCCTGGCCAACGTGATGAAACCCCGTCTCTACTAAAAACATTAAAAAATTAGCTGGGTGTGGTGGCGGCGCCTGTAATCCCAGCTACTCAGGAGGTTGAGGCAGGAGAATTGCTTGAACCCAGGAGGTGGAGGTTGCAGTGAGCTGACACGTTCCCGCTGCACTGCAGCCTGGGCCACAGAATGAGACTCTGTCTCAAAAAAAAAAAAAAAAAAAAACTTTCTGAAAGACTTAAGCAAACATTTCCCCCACAATATGGATGGCAAATAGCATAGAAAAAGATGCTCAAGATCACTAGTCATTAAGGAAATACAAAACTCTAGGATATACCACTACATATCTACCAGAATGTCTAGAAAAAAAGACTGACCTTACCAAATGTTGATGAGAACGTGGTTACCCGGAACACTCATCTATTGCTGGTGGAATGTAAAACGGTAGTGCAACTATAGAAAACAGTTTGACAGTTTCTTTTAAGGTTAAATATATACTTACACATGAATCAGCCATGCATTCAGTTTAAGTACTGAACCGAAAGAAGTGAACATTTATTTTCTCCCAAAAAGCTATGCATGAAAGTTTATGGTGGCTCGATTCATCACTGCCAAAACCTAGAAACTATCCAAATGTCCCTCGATGGGTGAATGGATCAACAAACTGTGGTCCATCCAGACAACAGTACTCAGCAACTAAAGGAACAGACACAGGCGACAGCATGCATCAATTTCCAGTGCATTACAACACCTGACTCGAAACAGAATTCCAGACAGGAAGACAGCAGGCCTGATGGGTGGCCACAAAGAAACAGCACAAAGAAAATTTTTTGAGTGATGAGATTGTGGTGATTATTACAGGACTAAATCCTTTTTTCAAAATTTATAAAACTGTATACTAAAAAAAACTAATTTTACTATGCACGAAGTCTAAAAACAAAAAACTTAAATTGTTATACTGAAAAATAAGTATCTATAATCAATGACCTAAGGTTCTATCTGAAAAAGCTAGAAAAAGAAGAGAAAATAAACCCAAGGTAAATAGAAGGAAGCCAATAATGAAAATAAGAGGAGAAATCAAAGAAATAAAGAGAGAAAAGTATCAGAGCCAAAAGCTGATTCTTTGAAAACACTGACAACATGGATAAACTACTAGCTAGACAGACTCAAGAATAAAAGAGAAAACACGAACTCACTAATATCAGGAATAAAAGGAGGGCCATCAGCATAAAACCTGCAGATATTCAATGGCAAGTAAGGAAATGGTTAATAAGGTGAACAGTTACAAAATGAGAAAGTATAGACTGGGCGCGGTGGCTCACGCCTGTAATCCCAGCACTTTGGGAGGCCGAGTCGGGCGGATCACGAGGTCAGGAGATCGAGACCATCCTGGCTAACACGGTGAAACCCCGTCTGTGCTAAAAATACAAAAATAATTAGCCGGGCCTGGTGGCAGGCGCCTGTAGTCCCAGCTACTCGGGAGGCTGAGGCAGGAGACTCACTTGAACCCGGGAGGCGGAGGTTGCAGGGAGCCGAGATCGCGCCATTGCACTCCAGCCTGGGTGACGGAGCAAGACTCCGTCTCAAAAAAAAAAAAAAAAAAAGAGAAAGTATAAACTTCTTTATGCAAAGAAATTTGACAATTTTGATGACATGCACAAGTTCCTTGAAAAATACAACTTATCACAACATGAAACAGAAATCCAAATACCTCAGTCTGTTAAAGAAAATTAATTACCATCAATCTCTCTAGATATAAAACTCCAAATGGCTTCATTGTTGATGCTATGAAAACATTCAAAGAAGAAATCCCAGCTATGTTAAATAACCTCTTTCAGAAAAGAAAGTGAAAAAATTCCCAATCTATTTTATGAGACTAACATAACCTTCATACAAAGCCTTAGGGAACACTGCAAGAAAAGACAATTATGCACCAACATCCCTCATGAACACAGATGCAAAAACCATTAACAAAATATTAGCAAATCAAATTCAGTAATATCTGTAACATATGAAAAGGGCAGTACATCACTACCAGGTATGGTTTATCCTAGAACCGCAAGGTTAGTTTAATCTCCAAGAAATAAATCACTCAATAAAGTTAACCTTATTAGTAGAATAAAAGAGAAAAATATCATCACTATTTCAATAGATCCAGAAAAAGCAAACTAGAAATATAACAGAACTTCCTTGATCTGATAAAAAGGCACCTGTGAAAAACCTAAAGCTAATATACTTAATGGCAAAACACTGACCACTTCCCTGTAAGACAAGGAGCTGGGCAAAGATGACTGCCCTAGCCAGTTTTAACTTTGTACTGGGAGTGCTAGACATTGTAATAAAAGAAGGAAATAACAAAAATTGGAAAGAAATAAAACTGTCTTTATCTGAAGATGATGTTATCTTATACATAAAAAGCCTTCAGGAATCCACAAAACGCTACTAATATACATAAATTGTGCAAGGTAACAGCAAGGTTAACATACAAAAGGTGTATGTGTATTCACGGTAAACAACTAGATAATTATTTTAAATCTCACTTACAATAGTGCAAAAAACCTAAAATATTTAAGGATAAATTTAACAAAAGACGTGAGACCTCTTTATTAAAACCTGTAGAATAAGGGAGAAGTAAATGGTAAAATTAAAGAAACATCACTAACCCCAGAGTTAGAATAAGCCACACAGGGAGGGAGGGCCCACATTGAGGATGAGGTGTTAGGATGGCTGGAGCCCCGGAGGACGGCAGTACAGAACAAGTGACAACAACCACGACCACGCCAGGGAGACGGGAGCTCCGTTTCCCCACAAGTGTAAAAGACGCTTCTAGAAGACAAACATCTTCACTGACATAAAATAGGGTAGAATACAGCAAATGTGGTTTCCTTGAAATAACTGGAAACCTAACAAGAGTCAAACCTTTAAATGGAATTTTACTTTTCTTTATTATATAAAGCAAAATAGCATCCGCATCTTTACAAAAAATTAGGAGAATTACAGAAAATGAAGGATGTACGAATTTGCACATATCTGTAAGAAAAATCCCACAAGAAAATATTGGGGATTGTCCTTAAAAAGCTTTCAATTCTTAATGGAACAAAAATACTGTCCTTAACATGTAAACTATTTTTTATATATTTTTCATTATATAAGATTATAGTTAGAGGTCAAGTTCTAGAGCACTATAGACAAATAATACAACTTCTTCTGAAAAGTAATCAATGGTTTTTAAAGGCATTCTTTTTTTTTTGAGACGAGTCTTGCTCTGTCGCCCAGGCTGCAGTGCAGTGGCGCAATCTCGGCTCACTGCCAACCTCCACCTTCTGGGTTCAAGTGATTCTTCTGCCTCAGCCTCCCAAGTAACCATTAGAGGCACCGGCCACCAGGCCCAGCTAACTTTTGTGTTTTTAGTAGAGACGGGGTTTCACCATGTTGGCCAGGCTGGTCTCGAACTCCTGAGCTCAAGTGATCTGCCCGCCTGGGCCTCCCAAAGTGCTGGGATTACAGGCGTGAGCCACCGCTCCTGGCCATAAAAGGCATTCTTCAATGTAACCCAAAAGGCTATTTTTAAATTTTTGCCAAATATACAAGATACAATCAGATACTAAGACAGATAACATCTCAGTAGCCTCTGTCAAAGGGAAATTAAAAGTGACAAACTGGAGACAAACTTCTCCTTACTTCTATGGTCCCCTCCAAAATTATTTTTTTTTAGGCAGGGTCCTGTTCTGTCATTACAGCTGGATTACAGTGGCATGATCACAGCTCACTGTGGCCTTGGCCTCCCAGGCTCAAGTGATCTTCCTATCTCATCCTTCAGAGTAGCTGGTACTATAGGTGTATGCCTGGCTAAATTTTTTAAAAAAATTTGTAGAGATGGGTCTCATTACGTTGTCCAGGCTGATCTCGAATTCCTGGGCTCAAACGATCCTCCCACCTCAGGTTCCCAAACTCCTGGGATTACAGGTGTGAGAGCCACTGTGCCCGGCCATAAAGTTAATTTTGTTTTTGAGACAGGGTCTTGCTTTGTTGCCCAGGCTGGAGTGCAGTGGCACAATCACAGCTCACTGCATCCTCCATCTCCTGGGTTCAAGTGATTCTCCTGCCTCAGTCTCCGGAGTGGTGTGTCACCATGCCTGGCTAATTTTTGTATTTTTAGTAGAGATGGGGTTTTCCCATGTTGTTTAGGCTGGTCTCGAACTCCTGAGCTCAAGTAACCCACCCTCCTCAGTCTCCCAAAGTGCTGAGAATACAGGCGTTTGAGCCACCGTGCCCAACTGATAAAATTAATTTTGAAAAGTATTATAAATATTGTATGAGGAAACAGAAGACTGTCATCCTGGAAAGCCAAGGCCCCAGTCAATCACACCCAGAAACTATGAGGACTTCGTACAGGAGACGCAGGCGTAGCCAGAAGCGTGAGAAGAGCCCCTTCTCCCCCAGCACCAGGGAGTGGCGTACCTCGCCGAGGTAAACCTGCGGTGCCTAGAGCTGCTCGTTCACACGCACTATCTCCTCTTCTTTGTTGGGCAGAAATGCCGGTGGAAATGGTAATAACAACAACCATATCAAAACAGAGCCGACAGAACCTTAATAGGGAAATATTCCACTGACCCTACAGATATGAAATGTCCTAATTAAATAAGCCTACAGTTTTAAATTGGAAAAATGGAAAATCAATTTGAAAATTTTTTTTGTTGTTATTGTTGTTGTTTTTTGAGACTCTCCCACGCTGTGTTCACTCAGGGAGCATTCCCACGCTGTGTTCATTCACCGAGCACGCGCCACGTGGGCACCACACACACACAATTCTCCCACGCTATGTTCATTCACCGAGCACGCGCCGCGTGGGCACCACACACACAATTCTCCCACGCTGTGTTCATTCACCGAGCACGCGCCACGTGGGCACCACACACACACAATTCTCCCACGCTGTGTTCATTCACCGAGCACGCGCCGCGTGGGCACCACACACACAATTCTCCCACGCTGTGTTCATTCACCGAGCACGCGCCGCGTGGGCACCACACACACAATTCTCCCACGCTGTGTTCATTCACCGAGCACACGCCGCGTGGGCACCACACATACACGATTCTCCCACGCTGAGTTGATTCACCGAGCACGTGCCGCGTGGGCACCACACACACAATTCTCCCACGCTGTGTTCATTCACCGAGCACGCGCCGCGTGGGCACCAAACACACACTATTCTCCCACGCTGTGTTCATTCACCAAGCACGTGCCGCGTGGGCACCACACACACACGATTCTCCCACGCTGTGTTCATTCACCGAGCATGTGCCACGTGGGCACCACACACACACGATTCTCCCACGCTGTGTTCACTCACCGAGCATGTGCCACGTGGGCACCACACACACACAATTCTCCCACGCTGTGTTCATTCACCGAGCACACGCCGCGTGGGCACCACACACACAATTCTCCCACGCTGTGTTCATTCACCAAGCACGTGCCGCGTGGGCACCACACACACAATTCTCCCACGCTGTGTTCATTCACCAATCACGCGCCGCGTGGGCACCACACACACAATTCTCCCACGCTGTGTTCATTCACCGAGCACGCGCCGCGTGGGCACCACACACACACAATTCTCCCACGCTGTGTTCATTCACCGAGCACGCGCTGCGTGGGCACCACACACACAATTCTCCCACGCTGTGTTCATTCACCGAGCATGCGCCGCGTGGGCACCACACACACACGATTCTCCCACGCTGTGTTCATTCACCGAGCACGCGCCGCGTGGGCACCACACACACTAATTCTCCCACGCTGTGTTCATTCACTGAGCACGTGTTGTGTGGGCACCACACACACGATTCTACACAAGGTCTTTCAAGGGCATCTGTGAAGTTATGAATGCTCTGCAATTTTGAATATCATCTCTACTATAAACAGGTTGGTTTTGGTTTTCTTTTTTGCTTCAAAAGCACGGCTACATTAAAATAAAAGATTTAAAAATAGATTTTTTAATATACACCTACTATGTACTCACAAAAATTTAAAAAAAAATTTGTTCTTAAGATTTTTTTCCCATCATGCCAGTGGGAAGAGAAACAGTGAGTAGCCACTTACTCAAGTCACCTCCTTGAGAAGAGCAAGCCACCAACAGCCCAATAGCTTCACGCCTCTCACAGCCCTGGGGTGCTGCCCTAGGGAAGTGCCTCTCCTCAGATCCCTATCAGTGCTGCAATCAGAAAGCAGTTTGGGGCAGGGGTCGCTGGTTCCTCACTCAAGATCCCTAGAAAGCTGCTTCCATGCACATGTCCCCAGGCAGAATCGGGCGCTCTCTGCACTGTCTGCCACATGGGGGCCACGGGCGTCTGTGAAGACCAGAGACTCGCCTCCCCGATGAGGGTCTTGGTGGCCGCTCGGCACCGGCATAAGCAACATGAACTCGGGCGTCACGTGGACCTTTGGTAGCTTACCTTCAAGCTCGTGTTCTCTTCCTCAAGTTCTCTGAGGCTGACAGCAGTCTGGCTGTTCTGCATGTCCAATTTTAAGTTCAGATGTAGTATTTCTTCATTTTTACTTTCTAAGTCACCTTTCATCTTTTCTAGCTGTTCTTTTAAGTCCAAAACCTTTCATTAAAACAAAAGAAGAAAAGTATTAAAAGTCATCTAATATTCTATTAATATTAATAATTAAGACATTATTAAAATAGCTTTGAGATATTTAAATGCACATGCCTAAAGCAATTACTACCCTGTACCTGTACCCGCACACAAATGGTAAAACTGCAAAGAATACACAGTGGTCAGGCTGGGCATGGGCTCACGCCTGTAATCCCAGCACTTTGAGAGGCTCAAGCAGGCAGATCACCCGAGGTCAGGAGTTGGAAACCAGCCTGGCCAACATGGTGAAACCCTGTCTCTACTAAAAATACCAAAACTGAGCCGGGCGTGGCGGTGGGTGCACCTGTAATCCCAGCTACTCGGGAGGCCGAGGCAGGAGAATCGCTTGAACCCAGGAGGCGGAGGTTGCAGTGAGCCGAGACTGCACCATTGCACTCCAGCCTGGGCAACAAGAGCAAAACTCTGTCTCAAACAACAACAAAAAAAAGAAAAGAAAAGAATACACAGTGGTCACAAGCCCATCGCCTGTGTTATCTGGACATCGGATCTGCCACAGAGAAGCCCACTGGACACTGACCCAGGGCTGGCAGTCCCATGGCCCCACTCTGCACTCACCTCGCTCTCGCGCCGCAGGAGTGCTCTCTGTGTCACCTCTAACTGTATTTCTGGACCCTCAGGAGGGCTGCCCGAAGGAGGCTCGGGACATCTGCCTGCATCTAGTGTAGACTGCAACGTGGACGCCAGAAGCAAGCTACTCATCTGCTGTTTCTTTAACACCTCTTTATCCTATTAAAAAAAAAAGAACTCTATTTTAGGCAAATATTTGGGAATTCAGTACCTCAACTGCTGCCTGTTAAAGCACAGACCATCTTTAGCTGCACCTGAAGCAGAGCAGGTGGACCTGCACGCCCCTGCACTCAGTGACACACCAGGCAACACTGGCACCCAGGACCCAGCCACCTCCCAGCAGAGGCCTGCCTGGTGCAGGACGTGACTGAGAGCCACAGCCTGTGCCCGAGTCCACTGTGAGGAATTTATCTACAGTAATATTCACCAAACTATTACCAATATTTTCAAAACTGACAAGAACTTGCCAAAAAAAATAGGGCAATGGCTGATGGTATGCTCATATAATGAATATTACCTGCCTAGAAAAAATTTTTCAAACAATATTTAATATGACGAAAATGGTCACAATACGTTACATGCGCAAGAGCATGACATATAAAATTGCATACACAGTCCAAATTTCACGAAGGGATAAAAACACATTTTCTAACCCTGGCATCTACTAAGCTCAGTAAACGTTCGCTGAGTGAAGGCAGAAGGGGTGAAGCCGCCCTGGAGCAGCTGTCACTGAAATGTGTGCAGTGGCCGGCCAGGGGGACAACTCCGCTCCAAGTGCAGGTGATGCTCAGCGGTCCTCCCTGCGACAGCGGAACGGAAACACGTCAGGGCCTGAGGAAAGGCCCCAGTTTAATAATTCTCATCAGCACTTACGAGAATCAGACACACTTGGCCGGGCGTGGTGGTTCACGCCTGTAATACCAGCACTTTGAGAGGCCAAGGCGGGCAGATCACCTGAGGTCAGTAGTTCGAGACCAGCCTGGCCAACATGGTGAAACCCCATCTCTATTAAAAATACAAAAATTAGCCAGGCGTGGTGGCGCGTGCCTGTGCTCCCAGCTACTCAGGAAGCTGAGGTAGGAGAGATCGCTTGAACCCGGGAGGAGGAGGTTGCTGTGAGCCGAGATTGCGCCACTGCACTCCAGCCTGGGTGACAGAACAAGACTCTGTCTCAAAAAAAAAAAAAAAAAAAAAAAAGAATCAGACACACCTGAGAAAGACTCCTCCTCTCATCTGTGTCTGAGGCCAAACTACTAATTCTAAAATCAAATTTCTTACTGAGCCTCTTTTCAAGTAACCTTTTAACCTCATAGAAGTCAGCTGAATTCCTTTTAGCTAAATGCTCACAATGGAGGGCACAGCCGCTACCCAGAAATGCAGACAGGCAGCCCTGCCCCCTCCAGCCATGAGATGGCCCACCTGGCTCAGTGCTCCAGCCCCTCTTTAAACTCTCAGACACAAACGAACACACACAACACGGCAAACACCAGCAATGCAAAACCATCACTGGAGATCTCTTCACTGGGAGCTGACATGAGTTCCTGAGCTCAAAGATTGAAACAATTACAAGGGGCTCTCATCAAAGTATTTAATAAGCTAAGATTTTTTTAAACCTAAAATCTTAAATGTTTACTTTATGAAATATTAAGGATAAATTCAGAGTTCTTGAGACATAAAGAAATTGTATAAATCCTACTACAGTAAATAAAATCAACAATCTCCAGAAAGGTCAAAGTACTCTTGCTACCCGTCACCAATGACTTCTGTTTCTCCCTGACGCCAGTGTTTCTGGTGCAGACGTGGTGGCTGCCAGTGAAGAAGGACGCCCTGCCCACTCCCTGCCAGCTCAGCGATGAAGCCATGCCTGCGGGACACCTCACCACGTGCCCAACCACAACATGGAGACGCTTTACCTGTTCCAGCCCTTTCACGATGTTTTTCTGTTTTTCCACTTCTTCCTGGAGCTGGGCCACTTTTTTCCTGATGTTGATGTTCATCTCCTCCAGACGTTTAATTTCTTCTTCCTGCATTAACACTTGTCTATCTGCCGACTCTTTCTGTATAGCCAATTCATTAAATTCATCCAACTTTTCTCTCAACTTTTGTTGTAACAACTCAACCTAAAACAACAAAAAATGCTTGAGGAATACAATAGAATGTTTTATAAAAACCCATTTTCCAAACAAAAAAGTACCCAAAACAACAGAGACAAAATAGATGCCCTATGCCCTCCCCTAGACCCAAAGGGAGACCTAGACTCACAGGCTGCACAGGGAGACCCAGACGCAAAGACTGCACAGGGAGACCTAGACCCACAGGCTGCACAGAGAGACCCAGACCCACAGGCTGAACAGAGACCTAGACCCACAGGCTGCACAGGGAGACCTAGACCCACAGGCTGAAAAGAGACCCAGACTCACAGGCTGAACAGAGACCCAGACCCACAGGCTGCACAGGGAGACCTAGACCCAGAGGCTGAACAGAGATCTAAAGGAAGTATAGGGTGATGTTGTGTTAAGAAAGGCATTCTCTATAATACAGAATTTGTTAGGAAAATGAAATCTATTCTGATAGAAAAGAATGGAATACTACAGCCGGCGCGGTGGCTCACGCCTGTAATCCCAGCACTCTGGGAGGCTGAGGCAGGCAGATCACGAGGTCAGGAGATGGAGACCATCCTGGCTAACACAGTGAAACCCTGTCTCTACTAAAAATACAAAAAATTAGCGGGGTGTGGTGGCGGGCACCTGTAGTCCCAGCTACTCGGGAGGCTGAGGCAGGAGAATGGCGTGAACCCGGGAGGTGGAGCTTGCAGTGAGCTGAGATCGCGCCACTGCACTCCAGCCTGGGCAACTGCATGAGACTCCAACTCAAAAAAAAAAAAAAAAAGAAAAAGAAAAAAAAAGAATGGAATACTTCTCAGCAACATAAAGAACAAACTATGGCTACACTCAGTAACCTGGATCAATCTCCAGAGAGTCAGGCTCGGTGAATGGTGTCAATCCCCCAAGATGACAGGCACGCTTCACCCATCAGGAAGATGGTAAAGTTTTAGAAATAGACGACAGATGAGTGGTTGCCCGAGAAAGGACGGCGGCATGGCCGTGACCCAGTACACGAGGGTCCGTGGGGGGCAGAAGGCACTGCAGCGTCACCAGATCCCTGCCCATACTGGCTGTGACACTGCATTCCGGCTCTGTGGATGAGACCTCTGGGGAACCACGTGCCAGGCACGAGGGATCCGAGTCTTACCTCTTACAACTGTGTGTGAATCCACCATTAATTTTTTAAAAAAATAAACGAACCTACTACAGCTTCCTCAGACAAGAGAAAGCAGATGGCTGCAGCCCAAACAAGAGCAAGAAAAGCGAGTGGGTGGCAGGACAGTCCCAGCGAGCGCAGGGGAGCCTGGGCGCCAGCGCAGGGAGTGCCCATCTCGTTGACGCCTCCTCACCTCTCCATCCAGCGGCGCCTGCTGCCGATTTCATGTACATGGAAGGCAAAAATTTAAAGAAAGTTAAAGCTTAAAAACACAGTGAAAGACAGCAACCAGCAGCACTGCACGCTGCACTGACTCACCTGGCTGTCGCGAGGGCCCCAGGGCTGCGGCTTGGCCGCCTGGCGGAGCTGCCCCTCCAGCCTCTGAATCTCCTGCTGGAACTCCTCGCGCTCGTGCTCCCGCTCGGCTGCCTGCTCCTGGGAGGAGAGGCAGCGTGTTGGGACCACCCCAACGGGGCTGGCGTGCCCCTTGCAGCGAAGGTCCACCCAGGCTTCCACTGCACGTACAAGTGCAACTGCCCAGCAGCTCAGACTCCAAATACCCCCCTCATCACAGTCACTTTGTAAAATGGAGTTAAGTAAAGAAAAACAGCTCTCTGCATGGAACACAGAGGAACGTCTGAGACTGGTGGGTGGGAGGACAAGAACCAGTGAGAGCTGCAGCACAGGCCCAGCCCGGGCCCCAAGTGACGCCTCCGTGACTGTGAGAAGGAGCATGGCAAGACCATGGGAGGTGGCCCTCAGAGGGCTGCGCCACAACATGTGGGCAAGAAGACACCCACCAAGAGTCAGCGACCTGGGTGCACCTGTGCAGCAGGTGTGGGGCGCCCTCTTCAACATCCTACTGCAGAAGCTTACGTAACGATCTGGAAAGAAGTTCATGCTGTAACGGCAACTTTTAGTGATGCAAAAAAATGTATTATTCAGAATTCTTACATCCATGAATTGCCGCTGGTTGCGCAAATGCTTGTCCAGAGATGCCACCTGCTGTTCCAGGGCAGTGACGGCCTCCGCCTGCTTGGCACACCCGCGATGCTGAGACAGCTGTTCTTCTAACTCAGACTCCAAAATCTTCATCTGGGAGAGCAGGGCTGAGCGGTCCTTCTCAGCCTGCTTCCTGGTCTCCGACTGTTCTTTGGTCAGATCCTCCACTTCCTTCCGGAGAGCTAAGGATGCAAACAGGACAGACACGGGGACACCCCCGCACCTCAGAGGCTGGTGCATGACACGTGCATCTCCTGATGGTGATTCAGTCAAAACCCACCGAAAATGAAGTCACTTCAATTCGGGGTAAAACGCCCATCTTTTAAAACAACATTGGCTAAAGCAAATTTCTGAAGCCTGAGAAGAATACTTCTGAGTGACATGTGGGTGATTCTCTAGGAATTCTGCCTTCAGTACAGTCTCCCAGACAGAAACACACGACTAAGCCCAGTCCCAGCAGACGACGGACGGTGCTGAGAGCCTGGGGTTGTGACGTGTCTAGGGGAAAGGCAAACGCCCCATCGGTAAATCAAAAGCGAATCTAGGTCGGGTGGGGTGGTTCACACCTGTAATCCCAGCACTTTGGGAGGCCGAGGCGGGTGGATCACTCGACGTCAGGAGTTTGAGACCAGCCTGGCCATCATGGTAAAACCCTGTCTCTACTAAAAATACAAAATTAGCTGGACATGGTGGCGTGTGCCTGTAATCCCAGCTACTCGGGAGGCTGAGGCAGGAGAATCACTTGAATCCGGGAGATGGAGGTTGCAGTGAGCCCAGATTGCATTGCTGCACTCCAGCCTGGGTGACAAAGTGAGACTCCTTCAAATAAATAAATAAATAAATAAAATTAACTGGGTACCACAGTTTAAATTTCTGTCCCCTCCAAAACTCATGTTGAAATTTAACTGCCAGAGTGATGGTATTGGAAGGGCCTTGAAAAGGTGACGAGGCCGCAAGGGCTCCACCCTCACAGCAGTTTTAATGCCTCAATAAGCGGCTTTGGGAGTGGTCCTCCCACTCGGCCCTTCTGCCTCTGCCCCAGGATGATCCAGCCCTCCACTCCGGAGGATACAGTGTGCAAGGCTCTGCCTTAGAAGCAGAGATGGGTACCTCACCAGACACCAAACCTGCTGGCACCCTGACCTTAGGCTTTCTAGCCTCCAGAACTGTAAGTCACAAACGTGTGTCTGTGATAAATCGCCTAGCCTCAAAAATTCTCTTCCAGCAGCAAAACCAGCCTGAGACCTGGGGTGGCGAAGCCCCGGCCCAAGTGGAAACTGCAGATGAAAAAGCGTCTTGGAAAAAGGGGCTCTCTGCTGCTAAGTCCTGAAGCCTCCATTTTATTATTATTATTTCTGAGATGGAGTCTCTGCTGCTGAATCCTGAAGTCTCTATTTTATTACTATTATTTCCGAGATGGAGTCTCTGCTGCTGAATCCTGAAGTCTCTATTTTATTACTATTATTTCTGAGATGGAGTGCCTGCTGCTGAGTCCTGAAGTCTCTATTTTATTACTATTATTTCTGAGATGGAGTCTCTGCTGCCGAGTCCTGAAGTCTCCATTTTATTATTATTATTTCTGAGATGGAGTCTCTGCTGCCGAGTCCTGAAGTCTCCATTTTATTACTATTATTTCTGAGATGGAGTCTCTGCTGCCGAATCCTGAAGTCTCTATTTTATTACTATTATTTCTGAGATGGAGTGTCTGCTGCCGAATCCTGAAGTCTCTATTTTATTACTATTATTTCTGAGATGGAGTGTCTGCTGCTGAATCCTGAAGTCTCTATTTTATTACTATTATTTCTGAGATGGAGTCTCTGTTGCTGAGTCCTGAAGTCTCTATTTTATTATTATTTCTGAGATGGAGTCTCTGCTGCTGAGTCCTGAAGTCTCTATTTTATTACTATTATTTCTGAGATGGAGTCTCTGCTGCTGAGTCCTGAAGTCTCTATTTTATTACTATTATTTCTGAGATGGAGTCTCTGCTGCTGAGTCCTGAAGTCTCTATTTTATTACTATTATTTCTGAGATGGAGTCTCTGCTGCTGAGTCCCGAAGTCTCTATTTTATTATAATTATTTCTGAGATGGAGTCTGGTTCTGGGATTACAGCTGTGAGCTACCACTCCCGGCCTGAATCCTGAAGTCTTTAAGCCACCCAAAAACTAAAATATTAAATTCATACATGTTAACTGACATTTCACCAGCTTCCAAAAAATCATTTTGATTTGTAAAAGTGTTAAGTCTTTTATCACAAACTATCATGACCAATGCAAGTAACATTCTCAATAAATGTTGATGCCACTGTCAGCAGTTAACGGCGAGTCCGCTGTAAACATGCTGCTGCGGTAACATTCACAACCTGAGACGTGCGGCGAGGCCTGAGGGCAGCTGCTCCCCTGACTGCACTCCCTGGGCCTGGACACGACCTGGGCTGTGCTTGGCCCAGAACATCACCATCTTCAGGGCCAGGGGCACTGGGGCAGGGTGCCTGCTGACATGCACGCAGACTCAGGGAGGCACACGAGGATCGCAATCCCAGCTGGCGAAGCAGGTGACACCCACGCTGAACAGGCACAGGGGATCCAGGGGGCCCAGGCCCTCCCTGGAGACCAGAGCTGGGACCCAGCCCAAGAACAGCTGTAACTATCACAAGACATCAGTTTCTGAAAAGCAGCACAAACTGTAGCTTAGGCACTGTAGTAAAGACCGTTAGAGAAATGCTCCTGTTTTGCTGGGGCGTTAAAATGGGACAACTCCACCCATTTTTATGAATACTGAAGATTAGAGTATCGCTGTATTTATTGTTTGCCACAAAAGGTCTGAAGTACTTTTCTTTAGTAAATAATTTGCAAAATCCAGTGCAAACAAACAGCACGTCACACACAAATCAATCGTTTGTCTTTACAAACCTGAGTCCTTGTGTGCTGCAGTGACAGCTGTGCCTATGAACAAGAGTTTGCGTTTACTGAGGTGGAAACAGAAACGTGCAGCTGAGAATGTGAGAGCTAGAACCAGTGACGGCAGCGTCAGCAGCAGGGCTCTGGGCAACGCTGCTGGCCTTGAACAACCTCCAGACTCAGCGCCCACCATGCCCACAACTGCCTGTGCGGCTGCAGGCCCATCAACTTTTCAAGGAGACAAAGAGAACAAAAGGGACAGATGGCAACACCTGAAGAGAGCCACAAAACACCACACAGCGAAGGGGGCGTCACGCAACACGGCGAGGCAGGGCCGCTGCACACCAGGGCCGGGTTCACGCCACCGTCAGAGCCTAGGCCCTGCCGGGAGAGTGGTCAGGGCCGGTAGCTGGCGCAGAGTCACACAACCGCAGAGCCAGGGTGAAAGGAAAGAAAACAAACCAGAGTGAGAAACTAGGGCAGGGTTAACCATGTCGAAAGGAAAGCAAACAAAGAGGACCCCAGAGAAACAACGAGAATTTCCCAGTGACAAAGTTGGCCCGAGCCTGCGAAAGGGCTCCATGAGATCCACTCCCGGCATGCCAGGCGCCTGCCACTGCAAGGCCCATGGTAAGCCTCAGCTTCAATCCTGGGGCCTGCAGGGAGCCCAGCCAGGCTATGGACACCCAGGGCCCACATCCACCTGTCACGACACTCCCTGGTGGGCCAGGCTTTGTGGCAGGAGATGAACCAGAGGCAAGGCAGCAGACGGGCCACCACAGCCTTGGGAAGAAGCCCTGCAGTGCTCAGACCCACGTGCTCAGGCCCAGGGCACGACACAGGCACCTGACACGGGGGCGCTAGCCACAGGGCCCCGGCCTCACCGGGCCGTTCAACAGAATGCAGGCCACACACCCCTTTATCTGCCCGGAGGCCTGACAAACGAAGTGACTGGCTGAAGTCCAAGGGCTCGAGGTGATGAAACACCAGGTGGTCTCCCCCGGCGGGGTGTGGCCCAGCGCCGGCTGGCTGGGCGCGAAGACACTGGAAATGGGGCAGCAGAGTCTACAGGGAGGGGCCCGACCATGAGGCTGCCCCCGGACAGCAGAGGACAAGCAGAGAAAGCATCGGAGAAACAGCGACAACGGACGCCCAGATGCAACAGCACCGCCAGGGCAAAGATGCTGAGAGCGATGCAGGACGTCAGAGACGTTCCTGAAAACACCCTGAAAAATCCTGAGGAGATGCAGGAAAACGAGGGCGTCAAAGGAAAAGAAACAGGATCTCGAGTCATGTCTCCAGCACCACTTCACTGGTGGAGGAAGGGACCTGAAGAGACTCCAGGCCCTCCTGGCCCTGGAGGTTCCCCCGCACTCCCCCTGTGGACACACAGAGTGCGGGGGCAACAGGGCTTAGAGGCCCGTGGGGAGATGACGCCGCCCTGAGCCCGGCAGCAGGCAACACCGCAGTGAGGACTTCACAGCTGGCCAAGGAAAATCCACCCCCGAGCAAGGGCCCAACGCCAGGAGGTGCGGCAAATAAAACTTGGCTAAATGACTAAAAGAAGATACTCACAGACAGGCTTTTAAAAAACAGTCATGAATATGGTATCCATACAAGGCACAACTAAAACAGAGTATTAAAAAAGACTTAAAATAAAAGGACAAGAAAAGATACACGAGGGGAAAAACACCAGGCTAATCCTTCAGCATCAGAAATTTATATAAAAAATAGAACGGGATAAACGAGAATGACAGAAATGAACCAAGAAAAGGAGAGGACAAAGTGTGGGCACAGTCATAGGCAGAGTTTAAAACATCCCGTGGGACCAATGTCTTCCACCCTGGAAAACGCCCCCTGGGCCAAAGAATTATAAGCTTGTGGGACCCAGATGTCAACACGAGCACCACAGGTGGAAAGGCTGGGGCACCACGAGGAGGCACGACCTGAACCCCACATCCTGTGAAAGGCAGCAAACATGTCCAAAAGCGTCCAACCCAACGAAGGCAGTGAGAAACCATAGGAGCTGGCCGGGCATGGTGGCTCACGCCTGCGATCCCAGCACTATGGGAGGCCGAGGCAGGCAGATCACTTGAGGTCAGGAGTTCGAGACCAGGCTGGCTAACATGGTGAAACCCCATCTCTACCAAAAACATAAAAAATTAGCCAGGTGTGGTGGTGCTCACCTGTAATCCCAGCTACTTGGGAGGCTGAGGCAGGAGAATCACTTGAACCCAGGAGGCGGAGGTTGCAGTGAACTGAGATCACGCCACTACACTCCAGCCTGGGGACACAGCGAGACTCCATCTCAAAAAAAACAAAAACAAAAACAAAACCATAGGAACAAGGAATCACAC